>NW_025791765.1:777543-955087 GCF_000001405.40 Homo sapiens
TGTTTGACAAATTAAAGGTTTGTAGCAACCACGCATCAAGCAAGTCTATCAGTGTCATTTTTCCAACACCATGTACTCACTTTCTATCTCTGTGTCACATTTTGGCAATCTTGCAATATTTCCAAATTTTTCATTATTATTATATCTGCATGGTGATCTGTGATCTTTGATGTTGCTACTGAAATTGTTTTAGGGCACCACAAATTATGCCCACATAAGATGGCAAGCTTAAATCGAAAAATGTTATGTGTGTTCTCATTGCTCCACCAACTGCTGTTCTCCCAACTCCCTTCCTCTCCTCAAGCTTCCCTATTCCTAAGATACAATAATATTACAATTAGGCCAATTAGTAGCCCTACAATGGCCTGTAAGTGTTGGAGTAAAAGGAAGGGTTGCACATCTCTCACTTTAACCCAAAATCTGGAAATAAGGTTAGTGAGGAAGACATGCTCAAAGCCAAGAGAGGCTCAAAGCTAGGCCTTTAGTGCCAAACAGCCAAGCTGTGAATGCAAAGGAAAAGTTGTTGAAGGAAGTTAAAAATGCTATTCCAGTGAACACACATGTGGTAAAGAAGGAAAACAGCCTTATTGCTGATAGGGATAAAGCTTTAGTGGTCTGGATGGAAGAGCTAAGCAGCCACGGCATTCTCTTTTTTTTTTTTTTTTTTTGAGATGGAGTTTCGCTTGATGCCCAGGCTGGAGTGCAATGGCGTGGTCTTGGCTCACTGCAATCTCTGCCTTCCAGGTTCAAGCGATTCTTGTGCCTCAGCCTCCTGAGTAACTGAGATTATAGGTGCACACCACCACACCCAATTTTTGTATTTTTAGTAGAGATGGGGTTTCACCACGTTGGCCAGGTTGGTTTCGAACTCCTGACCTTAGGTGATCCACCTGCCTCAGCCTCCCAAAGTGCTGGGACTACAGGCGTGAGCCACCACGCCTGGCCTTGCCATACCATTCTCTTAAGCCAAAGTCTAATCCAGAGCAAGGCCCTGACTCTCTTTAATTCTGTGAAGGCTGAGAGAGGGGAGGAAGCTGCAGAATAGCTGAAAGCTAAAAGGGATCGATTCATGAGGTTTAAGAAAAGAAGCCAGCTCCATCACATAAAAGTGCAAGGTGAAGCATTAAATGCTGATGTACAAGTTGCAGCAAGTTATCCAGAAGATCTAGCTAAGATCATTGATGAACGTGGCCACACTAAACAACAAATTTTCCATGTAGATCAAGCAGCCTTCTGTTGGAAGATACCATCTAAAGAGAAGTCAGTGCCTGGCTTCAAAGCTTCAAAGGACAGGCTGACTCTCTCTTATTAGGGACTAACACAGCTGGTGGCTTTAAGTTGAAGCCAGTGCTCATCTGCCATTCTGAAAATTCTAGAGACCTTAAGAACTGTGCTAAATCTATTCTACCTGTGCTCTATAAATGGACAAGGCCTAGATAACAGCACATCTATTTATAACATGGTTTACTGAATATTTAAAATCCACTGTTGAGACCTAATGCTCAGAAAAAAGATTTCTTTCCAAATATTACTGCTCAGTGACAAGGCAACTGGTCACCCAGGAGCTCTGATGAAAATGTACAAGAAGATGCACGTTGTTTTCATGACTGCTAACACAACATCCATTCTTCAGCCAAGGATCAAGGAGTAATTTCAAGTTGCAAGTCTTCTTATTGAAGAAATACACTGCTTAAGGCTATAGCTGCCACAAAGGGTGATTCCTCTGATGGATCTGGGCAAAGTCCATTGAAAACCTCCTGGAAATGAGTCACCATTCTAAATGCCATTAAGAACATTTGCAGCTGGGCACAGTGGCTCAAGTCTGTAATCCCAGCACTTTGGGAGGCTGAGGCGGGTGGATCACCTGAAGTCAGGAGTTCGAGACCAGCCTCGCCAACATGGTGAAATCCCATCTCTACTAAAAAAAAAAAAAAAAAAAAAAATGTAGCTGGCAGTGGTGGGACGGGCCTATAATCCCAGCTATTCAGAAGGCTGAGGCAGGAGAATTGCTTGAACCTGGGAGGCGGAGGTTGCAGTGAGCCAAGATTGTGCCAGTGCACTCCAGCCTGGGCGACAGAGTGAGACCCCGTCTTGGAAAAAAAAAAAAAAAAAAGAACATTTGTGATTCATGGGAGAAGGTTAAAATGTCAACAATAGGAGGCTGGAAGAAGTTAATCCCAACCCTTATGGATGACTTTGAAGGAAGGGTTCAAGACTTCAGTGGAGAAGTCACTGTAGATGTGGTAGAAACAGCAAGAGAAAAGAATTAGAAGTGGCATCTGCAGATGTGAATGAATTTGTGCAATCCCATGATAAAACTTGAACGGAAGAGGAGTTGTTTCTTAGGGATGAGCAAAAAAAGTGGTTTCGTGAGATGAAATCTACTCCTAGTGAAGATGCTGTGAATATGCTGACAATGACAGCAAAGAACTTAGAATACTACATAAACTTAGAGGCAGGGTTTGAAAGGATTGACTCCAATTTTGAAAGAATTTCTGCTGTGGGTAAAGTGCTATTAAACAGCATTGCACGCTACAGAGAAATCTTTTGTGAAAAGAAGAATCAATGAATGTGGCAAACTTTACTGCTGTCTTATTTTAAGCAACTGTCACGGCCATCCCAACCTTCAGCAACCACTACCCTGATCAGTCAGTGGCTGTCAACATTGAGGGAAGGCCCTCCACCAGCAAAAAGATGACGACTTGCAGAAGGCTGACATGATCATCAGCAGTTTTTAGCAATAAAGTATTTTTGAAATTAAGGTATGTACATTTTTTAGACACAATGCTACTGCACTTAATAGGCCACAGTATAGTATAAACATAACTTTTATATATATGGGGAAACAAAAAAATTCTGTGACTGGCTTACTGCAGTGGTCTGGAACGGAACCCATAATATCTCCAAGGTATCCCTGTATCCCAAGTCCAACTCCTTTCTTCACCTCTTCCACGTACCACTCTGGTCAGAGTAATCATCTAATCATCTTCTTACCCTGGAGTATGACAACAGCCAATGTGACTGGTGTCCCTTGTCCTATTTTTGATGAACAATGATCCTATTAAAACCTAAAGCTACAATTTCATTCCTCTGTTCAAAACCCTTTGATGGCTTTCCACATCATTCAGGAAAAAGAGTCAAGTCAAACCATAGTTTGTAAGACCCTTCATAGTCTGCCCCCTTACTTCTCCTCTCACCCATGCTCACTCTGGTCTGGCTGTCTTTGCACAACAGGCCTGCTTTCAACAATGGAGACTTTATACTGCTTGGTCCTTCCGGCTAGAATGCTCTTCTTCCATATATTTCACTTTCCTCCAAACAGTCCTACCTCACGCCCTTCGAGTCTTTGTTCAAATGTCACCTTCTGAATAAAGCCTACCCTGACCACCCTATTTAAAATGGTACCGCCTTCCCTGTGCACACCTAAGTCTCTGATCTTATACTTTTCTTCTGACCTTGTAACATCTTCTAAGATCTTATAAAATTTACTTATTTATCATGCTTGCCTTCCCTCTGCTGCTGACTTCACCCAAACTCCCCAGAGTATGTATGATAAGCATCTCTGTTTTCACTGGTAAAAACAAAAGTGCCTGGCACTTTAAGTAGACACTTCATAAATATTTGTTAAATTAATTCCTTCTTTCCACATAGGTGGGGTGGCAAAACTATTTTTAATTTACATTTTCTTGTATGTTTTAAACTGCAAAAGTAACAAGTGCTTATTTTACTTAGTGATACAGTGCAAAGATGACTGAATAAAAAGCTAATACACTCAAACTTCCTCCATTCTCACCATTATTAGGTTATCCAGTCAACCTGGCAAATCTGTGCTTTATTCCGGCTCTTATTAATATACCCAAATAAATATACACAGATTTTTTGCTTTTAATAAAAATGGCATTATAGGCAAGGCACGGTGGCTCACGCCTGTCATCCCGGCACTTTGGGAGGCTGAGGCAGGCAGATTGCTTGAGGCTAGGAGTTTGAGACCAGCCTGGCCAACATGGCAAAACTCCATCTCTACCAAAAAATACAAAAATTAGCTGGGTGTGGTAGCAGGTGCTTGTAGTCCCAGCTACTGGGGAAGCTGAGGCACAAGAATTGCTTGAACCAGGAGGCAGAGGTTGCAGTGAGCTGAGATCATGCCACTGCACTCCAGCCTGGGTGACAGAGAGAGACCCTGTCTCAAAAAAAAAAAAAAAGGCATTATATTCTACTCTACAATATGCTTTTCTTACATATTAGCATGTCATGTATATTATTCCAGATCAATAGACAGAGACCTATTTCATTCTCTTTATTATCTGCATAAAATTCCATACTATTGCTACATCGCATTTTGTTAAATTCCCAAAAACATGCATGGAATCAATAGAATAATGTCCTTCTATATCTAATTAAAATAATCATTAATATTTATTAACACCCTTCAACCCATGAGAAGAGATTGATCATTAAGTATACTGAAATAAGTGAACTATAACATTTTAATTTTAGTCACAGACTGAAACAAAGTTTGTCCTAATCTTCAGTTTGTCTGAAAATTTAATTAATCAAAAGCTTCTAGTCAATAAAGAAAACATTTTTGTTTCCTACTGTGTGTAAGGCACCCCATTTCCACAATTGGACTTGTATAGAATATTATTATAAAATTCTGTATTTTCTGATGCAAAACATATATTGCATATTTTATGGCCTATATATAATATGGCCATGAAAGATGAATGGCCTAAATGCAGTCTATTACATAATTTTGAATTATAATTAGATAATTATATTCAATTAACAGATAATTATAGATAATTACAAAAACTTATATACAGAGAAATAAATTGTCATACAACCATACCCCGTACCTCTCTTAGTATTTCTATTCTTTTTGATTTTCAGGTGGTCTTAAAATCAAAACCTTAACAAGATTACTTGCATGTGCGTGTTAAAATATAATTATGTAAAACTTAGTTTGAACAATAATTAAAAAATAGTCTTTTCTGTATTTCCTACTTTTTGGTTAACGTACAGATAACAGTTAATAACTAAAAACTCTGAGTTATAGACAATGTTTTATTGTCAAAGAAATAAGACCTGACCAGGAATTCCGAGCATGACAAAGGCAATTAGAGTAAACATACAGAAAGATTTTGCTCTCCTCGACATAAGAAACTCTATTCATCTTTCCCCAAGGCTCTTATTGTTGGCATAAAGCTGAAGTGGAGAGGAAATAGGTTATTTCTTCCCCCAAGAGTTCATTCTATCTCTCCCCTCTACGTCTCGAGCTTAAGTCAGTGTCTTATTGTAGGGAAAAAAAGATGCAAAGCAAGAAGAAGAAAAAAGGATAAGAGGAGAGAGTAAAGATTTTGGCTATCTCCTTTGAGCTAAATCTTGACTATTTAAATGTGGATTTTGATAGGTGTAATTATTTTTATTGTTTAATTCCATCATCTGACAGCACAAAACAGATTGGTTAACTTGTTCCTTGATTACCTACACATTTAGTTTATCTTTTAAAAAATTTCCAGAGAAACTATTCTCTTTGCCTAACATTCATATATAGAAATAGTCCCTGGGAGAGTCTAGTTCAGAAACGTCAAGTTAGTAGCCTTTAGCCTATGTTGTTTGGCCCATACTGTCTTTCTAAAATTGAACTGATTTTCAATGTGTAAAGACTGGCAGATACATGAAACTTCTTATTTCTGACTCTTCTTGGGAATCAGCAGAACTGCACATGGGCTTAGACTCCCAACATGGTAACCACTGGGCTGGAGCCCGGTGGGGGCTGATCTCTTCGAATGGGTCACATGTTCTCTAGGACACCCCCACATCCCACTTGGCTTGCTTCCCTCATTTATATTGTTTACCTAGCCCAGTTTAAGAATCTGTTTGCAACTCTTGTTCTAGTCTCTGTATTACGGTAGCAATGAAAAAAATAAAAACCCTGGCCTTTAACACAGGTGAAGCTTGAAGTGTTCAGAAACAACAAAATATTGCTTGACTTAGCAAAAAGTTAACAAGTTAGAAATAAAATGTATAGTGCAATTGTGAACTATTTTTTAACTGATTCCATTTTTACTTCACAATTTTGCCCTTTAACCTAACCTGTCTCTGCATACTGACAATGCCTGAAAGCTGGATGGTTTCATTACACATAAATACATCTCTCTATAGAAGCTATTAGGTACAGGCCACTCACTGAAGTGTAATATGATATAAATCACTGGGGATGATAATAGAACACCGACACCTTCACCTTGGCACCTGTCACTCACTGCATGACTGGAACAGGCCTCTCTGGAGCTCGGCCTGTGTATACACAGGTCTCTCACAGCATTAGAATTATATTGTTGGAGGCTATTATTAATAGCACATTTATAAAAAGTGTGGAAATATCTTTTAGATAACAAAGAATAACTCAAGGGAAAGCTATTTTAAGAAATAATTTAGAAAAGGGATATTTCCACAAAGATCCCCCCAAAATTAAACTTTTTATTACCAGAAGTAATATGCTGATTTATCAGTCCCTTGTTTATAAAATACCTTTAAATGAAAAAGTTATGCTTTTTAATTTTACTCTAAAGTAAACAACATATGATGAAACAGGATTTTAGAGAGGAGAAATGTAAACATCAAATAAATGATATAAAAATGTAGCAACCAATATCTTACATGGCTAAAAAGGTTTCTTCTTTGTTACTCAATCACATCCCTTCAAAGGAGTCAGTGAAAATTCTGGGAAGATGAAATTCGGTCCTATTCATTTACTTCCCTCTGATCTTTGTTATTTTGTTAATTATTTTGGAAACCTATATATTAAAGTTTTAGGTATTCTCTCAAATTTAAAATGTACTTAAGATACCATTTTTATTTATTTGGTCAGAGAAAGTTTTTAATAATGAGTTTACATACTTCCTATGAAAATTACAAATAAAATTTTAGAGGATATTTGTGGTAAGGAGAACCTTAAATTGGAGCCCAAGACTTTATACCCTAATCTCTGAGGCTGTGACTAAGATGTAATTAAGGCTCCCAACCAGTTGCCTTTCAGTTAATCAAAAGGGAGACTATCCAGAGAGTCCTGACCCACTGACAGGAGCCCTTTAAAGCAGAGTTTTCTCACTGGAGGCAGAAGAGGACACCAGAGAGGTACAAAGTGCCAGGGGAAAGATGCGCTGTTGCTGGCTTGAAGATGGATGGCCCGTGAGAAGGAACCTGGAGGCCCTGAGGAGCTGAGAGGGGTCACTGACCAAGAGCCAGCAGCGAAACAAGGGTTTCAGTTCTACAACCACAAGGAACCTAATTCTCTCAACAACTTTAATGAGTTTGGAAGTGATTTCCCCTCAGAGCCTCTGGACAAGGACTCAGCCCGGAAGACATCTTAATTCAGCCTGATACACTGAACAAACAACCCAGTGTGCTTACAGTTTACAGAACTGTGTGCTAAGTGGCTGTTGCCACAAGTCTCAAGTTTGTGGTAATTTATTATGTAGCAAGAAACAACTAACACAATGCGAAGGAATTACCTATTATTAGGAAGGAAAATAAAATGTACTGAATGTAAGAATGCTACCTTTTTCAGAGTATTTAAGGTTCACTGCTGATTTGTTAAGCTGTTGCATGTTGAGAAAAACAATATGGTTAAGGGTAGAAGTAATCATTCTTAGGAAGTGAAACAAATCTAGGAACAGATTTGAAATATTCAAACCCAATTCTAATCACAGCAAGTTATTAATCAATAAAAATCTAGACATTTCAACTTCAAACTCAGGAAAGATCATGTATAGCAGAGAAACTTACCCTATTTTGAAAAAATGATGCATGAAAATGTGATGTTGTAGCAGATATTGATACTAAAGTAATCGTTTCTTCAGAACTAGGATTATGTAAGTAGACTTTTTCCATTTTTGGCATTCCAACTGGTCTGTAAAACAAAAAGAAAATTATCACAAATATTTCACAGATAATTCTGATTATTTCTAGTTGTTAAAAAATTAATCAAAATTGTTAGACAAATACATAGCTAAATATATTAAAATGCTTTCTGAATTTATATTTAAAATTACACATAAAAATGCATTTAGTCTTTCAATAAATATTTCCTGAGTGCCAATTATGTCACGTACAGTGCCAGGTGCTGGGATACAGTGAAGCAAGTTTCATCCCTGAGGCTCAGAACCCAGTGAGGCGGCGGACGGGGCACAAAATGGTCAGTTCCTTTTCTTTCTTTCTGTACCACCACCCGGCCTCCTACCAATTGTGTCCTCTTCTCAAATTCCACAGATACGTGCTCTTCATTTTAGGAGCAGAAACTGAGTAGCAAAGTTGTGTGAGGAAATCTTGTGAGTTAGGGGCTTTTACTATACTCATTTCATAGATGAGAATACTGGGGCACAGAAAAGTTAATTAACTTGTCAAAGGCACACTTGGAACCTGGATGTGAATCTAAGTCTTCTGGGTCTAGTCTGCGCTTTAACCGCCAGTACTGAACTGCCTCTTGTCAAACCTAAACACACTCAATGGTCTGAAATCCACAAATCCATTTTAATGACTCCCTTGGCATCCATGCCATGGTTTGCCTTAGAAGTGAAACTTTATTCTATAGTCCACTTACTACTTCTGTAGCTAATCTTATTGGTACAGGCCTCCTAACTTCTATAGCTTCCTTGCTTTTTCTAACTACCTATACACACCCACTAGTTACTAGGTTCCTTCCTAATCTCACATGACCCAACCTAAACAAGTAACCCTGTTTTCAATCCAGACCTTCCACCTGAGCCAGGCTAGTTCCATGGGCAAGTCCCCCACGGCTCTGCTAATCTGCCTGCCCTGTGTTTTTTTTCCCTATCCTCCTATACCAATCCAAACCCTCATTTCTAATTCAAATATACACCCTTCTTTCACAAGGTCCTCTCCTCATGCAATCATTTTGGTCCATGGTTTTCGAAATTTTACATTTTGTAATTCACATTTAAAGTATGCATATAAACCTCAAATCCCAAGCAGTTGAAAACGCAGAGCCAGAACTTCATTTTATATTTCGTTCAACTGTCCACCATGCTTTTGTTCTTCAAGAAGTTCTGTCTCTACCTTTTCTTCAATTTAGTTGCTCACCTCTAATTCAAGACTTGGGAAAGTTGATAAACAGTGAACAGCTGATAATTTTCAATAGTTTAAGAAAATGGAATGCAGGTGGAAGGGCAGGGCATGATGGCCAAATAGAAGGCTCCACCTTCATTGTCCCTTCTCCCCACAGAAATACTAAATTTAACAACTCTCTATGCCAAAAAAATCACCTTCATAAGAACCAAAAATCAGGTGAGCACTCACAGTACTTGGTTTGGTTTTAACTTCATATCACTGAAAGAGGCAATGAAGAGGGTAGGGAAGAAAATCTTGAATCGCTGATGCCACCCTTTCCCACCTACCCCACTCCACCCGGCAGCAGCCAAGTGGCACAGAGAGAGAGTCTGTGCACTTGGGAGAGGGACAGTGCAGCGACTGTGAGACTTTGCCATGAACTCAGTGCTGCCCTGTCACAGCAGAAAGCAAAATCTGGCTGAACTCAGCGGTCGCCTGCCCAAGGAGACAGCATTTAGATGAACTCTAGCAGTCCTAACTTGAGTTCCCATTAGCCTTGCCACCTCAGGCTAAAGTGTTCTGGGGCCCTAAATAAATTTGAAAGGCAGTCTAGGCCACAAGCACCGCAATTCCTAAGAGAGTCCTAGTGCCGTGCTGGGCTTGGAGCCAGTAGACTTGGGGGGCATGCAACCTACTGAGACATGAGCTGGGGTGCCCAAGGGAGTGCTTGCACCACTCCTCCTCCAACCCCAGGCAGCACAGCTCACAGCTCTGAAAGAGATCCCTTTCTTCTGCTTGACAGAGGAGAGGAGGGGGAAGAGAAACAAGGACTTTGTCTTGCATCTTGGATACCAGCTCAGCCACAGCAGGATAGGGCTGCTGTGGATTGGGGAGGGAGCCCAATTCCCTGAAGGGTGAGTCCCAGACCTGGCAGCATTTACCACAAGCTGACTGAAGAGCCCTTGGGCTTTAAGTGAATACTGGTGGTAGCCTGGCGGTATTCTCCGTGGGCTTGTGGTGGTGGTGGCCATGGGGTAGGGATCTTCTGCCTGTGGAAAGGGGAGGGAAGAGTGGGTAGGACTGCATCAAATGGGTTGAAGGCCAGCTCAGCTGCAGGACAACAGAACACTAGGTAGATTTCTAAGGTGTTTGACTCCAGTCCCTGGTCTGGACTGGTCTGGACACACCTACAGACCCACCTGGGACCTGGGGGAACTCACTGTCCTGAAGAGAAGGACACAAACCTGGCTGGCTTCACTATCTGCTGATTTTAGAGTCCTAGGGCCTTGAAGAAACACACCTGGAAGCCAGGGAGTGGTTACAGTGGGCCTTGGGCGAGACTCAGTGCTGTGTTGGCTTCAGGTCTGACCCAGTGCAGTTCCAGTGGTGGTGGCCACAGGGATGCTTTGTCATTCCACTCCCAGATCCAGGTGGCTCAGCACAGAGAGAGAGAGACTGTTTGTTTGGGAGACAGTAAGGAAAGAGAACAGGAATCTTTGCCAGGTAATCCAGAGAATGCTTCCTGATCTTATCCAAGACCACCAAGATGGTACTTCTACAAGTCTGCAAGAACCACAGTGTTGCTGGGCTTGGGGTGCCCCCTAATGCAGATATGGCTTAGATCACTACACTCAAGTCCTTCTGAATATCTGGAAAGCCTACCCAAGAAGAAGGGGTACAAACAAGCCCAGACTGTGAAGATTAAAATAAATACCTAACTCTTCAATGCCCAGACACTGATGAACATCTGCAAGCATTAAGACCAGCCAGGAAAACATGACTTCCTTAAATGAATTAAATAAGGCACCAGGGACCAATCCGAGAGAAACAGAGATATGTGACCTTCCAGACGGACAATTCAAAATGGCTGTTTTGAGGAAATTCAAAGAAATTCAAGATAACATAGAGAAGGAATTAAGAATTCTATCAGACAAATTTAATACAGACGCTGAAATAATTAAAAACAATCAAGCAGAAATTCTAGAGTTGAAAAATGCAACTGACATACTGAAGACTGCATCAGAGTTTCTTAATAGCAGAATTGATCAAGCAGAAGAAAGAATTAGTGAGCTTGAAGACAGGCTATTTGAAAATACAGTCAGAGGAGAGAAAACAAAAAAGAATTAAAAAGGAGGCATACCTACGGGACCTAGAAAATAGCCTCAAAAGGGGAAATCTAAGAGTTAATGGCCTTAAAGAGGAGGTAGAGAAGGAAATAGGGGTAGAAAGTTTATTTAAAGTGATAATAACAGAACACTTCCCAAATCTGGAGAAAGATATTAATATTGAACTACAAGATGGTCATAGAACACCAAGCAGATTTAACTCAAAGACTACCTCAAGGCATTTAATAATCAAACTTTAAAAAATCAAGGATAAAGAAAGGATCCTAAAATTAACAAGAGAAAAGAAACAGAATTAGGTACAATGGAGCTCCAATACCTGGCAGCAAACTTTTCAGTAGAAATCTTACAGGCCAGGAGAGACTGGCATGACATACTTAAAGTGCTGAAGGCAACAACAACAAAAAAAACCCCCACACTTTTACCCTAGAATAGTATATCTGGCAAAAATATCCTTTCCAGCGAAAATATCCTTCAAATATGAAAGAGGAATAAAGACGTTCCCAGACAAACAAAAGCTGAGGGATTTCACTAACATCAGATATATCTTACAAGAAATGCTAATGGGAGTTCTTTCAAACTGAAAGAAAGGGACATTAGTTAGCATCTCTCCAGGACGTTGGAGTGGGCACAGATTTCTTGAGTAATACTCCGCAAGCACCAGTAACCAAAGCAAAAATGGACAAATGGGATCATATCAACTTAAAAAGCTTCTGCACAGCAAAGGAAACAATCAACAAAGTTAAGAGACAGCTCACAGAATGGGAGGAAATATTTGCAAACTACCTATTTGACAAGGGATTAATAATAACTAGAATATATGAGGAACTCAAATGACTCTAAAGGAAAAAATCTAATAACCTGGTTAAAACATGGGCAAAGTATCTGAATAGGTATTTCTCAAAAGAAGACATACAAATGACAAAGAGGTATATAAAAAATGCTCAATATGACTATCAGGGAAGTGCAAATCAAAACCACAATGAGATATCTGATTCCAATTAAAATGGCTTTATCCAAAAGGCAACAACAAATACTGGCAAGGATATGGAGAAAAGGGAATGTTGGTGGGAATGTATTAGTACAAACACTAGGAACAACAGTTTGGAGGTTCCTCAAAAAACTAGAAGTAGAGCTACCATACAATCCAGCAATCCCAGTCATGAGTATACACCCAAAATAAAGGAAATCAGTATATTGTAGCGTTTTATGTACTCCCATGTTTATTACAGCACTATTCACAATAGCCGAGATTTGGAAGCCACCTAAGTGTTTATTACCAGATGAATGGATAAAAAAAATGTGGTACATATACACGATGGAGTACTATTCAACCATGAAAAATAATGAGATCCTGTCATTTGCAACAACCTGGATGGAGCTAGAGAACATTATGTTAAGTAAAATAAGCCAGACCCAGAAAGACAAACTTTCCATGTTCTCACTATTTGTGGGAGCTAAAAATCAAAACAATTGAACTCATGGAGATAGAGAGTAGGAGGATGGTTACCAGAGGCTGGGAAGGATAGCAGCGGGGATGGGTAGAAATGGGGATGATTAATACGTATAAAGAAACTGAAAGTATGGATAAGACCTAGCATTTCCTAGCACAACACGGTGACTACAGTTAAAAAAAAAATTAACTGTACCTTTTAAATAACTACAATAATATAAATGGATTGTTGGTAACACAAAAGATAAATGACTGAGGTGATGACTATCCCATTTACCTTGATGTGATTTTTATGCATTGCATACCTGTATCAAAATATCTTAGGTAATCCATAAATATATATATCTACTATGTACCCACAAAAATTTAAAATAATTTTAAAAAAAAGCAACAAATTAATCAGGGGCTAATTTAGGTTCCTTAAAGATAGTGATTTAGTACATGCTGGCTCTTCCTGCCATCTTCCTTCCCCACAACAATAATGCTGAAAAAATTTAGAAGTTAGAGGGAGGTACTGACTCCAAGAAATAACCAAAAAACAGTGAGAAGCCCTTGGGAGAACTGAAGGCTGCCTTAAAGTGGCAGGCAAAGGAAAGTGAGTGTCAATGGGCAGCCTGAGCTGACAACGAGAGGCTAGGCTATGAGAAGGCTTCCGAACTTTATTATTCTCCACTTTCTTCCCTGTCTGCCTTGAGATAGAGCCAGATCCTTCAACCTAGAATAGAAAAGCTTGCCAGGGTAAGGAGTTGATGAGCAGCTGCCCTTGAAATGCTCTCCTCTAACATCTCTCTCTGGTCCTCCACAGTCCTAGGGCTACTGAACTATGATTTAGGAAGACACCTTTGTCCCACGATGCTTCTGCCTAAGCATTGTCAGTTAAGAGTGGTGACAAATATGGGGCAATCAATAGTTTTTATGTGTATGTATGGAACTGGGGCTCTCCATTTTGGGGATTATCTCTCCTTTTAAATTCACAAGAAGAGACAAAGACCAGGGCTTGGCCTTCTGCCCTTCTCAATACGCATTACCAGACAGTAGCTCATAAGTTCACACACCCAAGTAACATGATATGTTTGGAGTAAATTAATTGGATAACACACACAATGTTGTGATAGATTGTAATGTGGTCTATTGCCATGGTCAAACTTGGAACAGAATGTTGAAGAGAAGTGACAGGAATAGATCTCCTTGTGTTGTTCTTGATGTAGGGGGAATTTTTTCATTCTTTCACCATTAAGTACGATGTCAGCCTTCAGGTTATCATAGATGCTCTTTATTAGGTTGAAGAAAATCCCGTCTATCCTAGTTTGTTAGGCATTATTATCATGAAAGGATGTTATTATCTCAAATGTTTTTTCTGTGTTTATTGACTTGATTATTGGTTTTCCCTGTATTGATTTTTTCAATGTTAAACCAACCCTGCATTCTTGAGATAAATGTCACTTGGTCATGGTGTACACTAGATTCTTTTTATAATCTATTAGCATTTTGTGGAGGATTTTTGCGTCTATATTCAGCAGAAGTATTTGTCTATATTTTCTTGTAGTGTCTTTGTCTGGTTTTGGTATTAGGGTAATACAGATCTAACAGACTAAGCTGGGAATTGTTTCCCTTTCTATTGTTTGGAAGAGTTTGGGAATAATTGGTATTAATTCTTCTTTGATTGTTTCATAGAATCCTTAAGTAAAGCTATGTGGAGCAGGGCTTGCTTTCTGGCAAGTTTTTGTTTTGTTTTGTTTTGAGATGGAGTCTCGCTCTGTCACCCAGGCTGGAATGAAGTGGCACGATCTCGGCTCACTGCAAGCTCCGCCTCCTGGGTTCACGCCATTCTCCTGCCTCAGCCTCCCGAGTAGCTGGGACTACAGGTGCCCACTAACACGCCTGGCTAATTTTTGTTGTATCTTTAGTAGACGTGGGGTTTCACCGTTAGCCAGGATGGTCTCGATCTCCTGACCTCGTGATCCGCCTGCCTCGCCTCCCAAAGTGCAGGGATTACAGGCGTGAGCCGCCGTGCCCAGCCACTTTCTGGCAAGTTTTTAAATGACTAATGCAAACATTTCACTTGTTATAAGTCTATTCAGATTTTCTATTTCTCCGTGAGTCAGTTTGTGTATTTTGGGTCTTTCCGGAAATCTGTCCATTTCAACTAAGTTAATGAATTAGCATACAGTTGTTCATAAAATTGCCCTGTAATCTTCTTTCTATAAAGTTGACAGTAATGTCACCTCCTACATTCCTGATTTTAGTAATTTGAGTCTTTTCTGTTTATTCCCTGGTCAGTATAGCTAAAGGTTTGACAATTCGATCTTTTCAAAGAACCAACTTTTGGTTTTGTTGATTTTGTTATGTTTTTCTATTCTGTATTTTATTTATTTCCTCTAGTTTTTATTATTTCTGTTTGCTTTAGTTGGCTCTTTTGCTAGTTTTTTTAGGGAGAAGGTTAAGTTTCTGATTTGAGATATTTTGGTGTGTATATGTTTCCTTCCCAGCAATGTTTTTGCTGCATCCCGTAAGTTTTGATATGTTTTGTTTTTGTTCATCTCGAAGTATTTTCTAATTTCCCTTTTGATTTATTCGATTCACTGATTATTAAGGAGTATGTTTATTATCCCAAGACTTTTTTGATTTCCAATTTATTTCAGTAGAAAATTAAGACAGAGAACATACTTTGTACAGGACGAGTATCCCTCTTACCTGAAATGCTTGGAACCATGAGTGTTTTGAATTTCAGATTTTTTCAGATTTTGAAATATCTGCATTACACTTATCAGTTAAGCAACCCTAATCTGAGAATCTGCAATTCTTCAATAAGCATTTCCTTTGAGCATCATGTTGGCACACAAAAAAATTCAGATTTTGGAGCATTTTGGATTTTCAGATTAGGAATGTTCAGCCTGTATTGTTTAAATCCATTTAAAATTACTAGTGTTTGTATTATGGATTAGCATATGGTCTATCTTGGAGAACATTCTACATATGCCTGAGCTGAATAAGTATTCTGTTGTTGAGCATGGTGTTCTACAGATGTCTACAAGTCAAGTTGGTTTATACTTTTTCCAAGTCTTCTATATCTTTATCTTCTGCCTAGATGGTATAGCCATTATTGAAAATGGGGATACTGAAGACTGTCATTATTACTGTCGCATTGTGTATTTCTCCCTTCAGTTCTGGCAGTTTTGCTTCATATATTTTGGGTGAGTCTCTGTTATTAGTTATATATATATATGTTTATAATTGTTATATCTCCCTGGATTGACCCTTTTGTAATCATAAAATGTCCATCTTTATTTGTAGTAACTTTTTGGTTTTAAAGTCTGTGTTGTCTGATATGCTTTTCCCCTAGTGATGCCCTGCTGTACAAGTAGTGGTCACTGGGGAAGGGGTGGTAGACCCTGGTCTTCTCAGCTTGCTCTTCCTAGTGTGGAACTTATCCTACTAGTGAGGTGAGCAAGATTGGGTTCCCCAGGTTTCAGGCCTGCTGCATCTGGGATACAGCATCTGTCCTAGAGTGGGGTGGGTGAAGAGAGACCCAGTCCTTTCTGAAATGTGCCTGAAATAGAACTTCTGCAACATAAAGTTGGAGATGATGAGAAATGCTAGCAGCCCTCCCTTCTCAGGGTGAAACTGCAGTCCCAGAGTATAAACTGGGGTTAGAGGGAGCTTCTATAACAAGGAGCTGGGGCTTGAGGGGTATGTGGTGGGGAGCATAATAGAATAGGTTGTAGCCCAAATGCCAGAGACTGCCACTGTTCTTATGAAGATTTACAACATTTTTTTGAATGAATAATTTCCTGCAACTTTAATAACTTTTTAAAAAATAATTCTCATTAGTTAAAGTACTGTCTGTTGAGGTGGTCCATTGAGCTCCTTACTCCATTCTTAAAATCCCATGCCCTAAGGGTATATTTGCTTCAAGTATTCGGAAGCTCCATTGTTAGATGCATGCATATTTCGAGTTGTTATTTTTGTGTATCTAAATTAACCCCTCTATATTTATGTAATATCCCCCTTTATTCCCAGTAATAGTGCTTGTTCTGAAGTTTACTTTGTCCAAATTAACACAGCCCTTTCACGGTTCTTTTGGTTAGTGTTTACATGGTAATATCTTTTCCATCCTTTTATTTTTAACTTGTCTATGTCTATCTATCTATCTATCTATATATAAAATATTGTCTATGTCTTTATATATATACACACACACACATATATGTAGGTTTTCTGCTAGTTGTGTCTCGCTTTTTTATTCAATGTGACAATCTTGGTCTCTTAATTGATGTGTTTAGATTATGTATATTTAATGCAATTATTGATAGAGTTAAAGTCTATCATCATGCTAGTTACTTTATTTTTTTTACTAACTAGGAAAGCCGTGCCCACAGACTGCACTGGAGAGGTAGGATCCCACAGGAGAGTTTCTCTGCTTTACCCAGGGAAGCAAAATCCTGGCCAAAAATCATTCTGTGGCTGACGTTCTGTAGATTGCACATTATGAGGTCCACAATCATTCTGTGGCCTAACAGTTCAGAACAACAACAACAACAAAAAGTGGGAACAGGGTTTGGGTCCTGAGGCAGTGATAGATAGGTATCCAGAAAAGGTCTGTAAGAACATATTTGGAGTTAGACAGTAGAACTCCTCAAACCAAGAAGCACTCAAATTGTTGAATTCCTCTTGCCTCCGTGGAGACTCAGATCCTTTAAATGACAGGCTCATCAATCCCAGGTGGGGTTACGACACCATGAAACAATTAGGGAAATGGGTACAAACCACAAGGGGCCTCAAACTACAGCCACGATACTGCAGGAAGCTCAATCGATACAATATAGAAGATAAAAGTCTTCTTCCTCAAGCTTCATATAGACATTTACGTAGAAAACAACAGCGCACAGAAATAAAAACATCCTCCTTGCATCCTGAAAGTTCACCAACTGTATGCTTTCTTAAGAAAAAAAATGCTTTTACAATTCAAATAGACTTCAGGCTAACTGGCAACCATTCATGCACATCCCTGTGAATTCCTTCTCAATGTTTTTCCTTGTGTAACTTTAGTACAATCAATCTCAGCTAAGATAAAGAAGACAGGATACATAATGGACAGGTAATTTGGGGTATCCTTCAAGAAGACAGGATTGGAGGTGGCCTCCTGCAGGAGAGGGCTGTGGGGAAAAGAGACAAGTGTGGAAGTGCTAGGAGCCTGGAAGCAGGAGTGGATCAGAATGCTTGATCTGCAATGCTTCTGAGGCTGGCCCTGCCCTTTCTTCCAGGGATCAAAGAGGAAAGGCATGGGCCACATCCCATAGAAATGAATGAACCCTTGCTCAGAGGAGATGAGTCATCTACTTATGTTGTTCAAAGTAGCTTGGAGTAACAAGAACAGAGGGAAGCTGTCAGGAAGGACATCAGCAGGCTATTTTAGTCGTTGCGTGCTCAAACAGGGCAGGCTGCCTCTAGCTCTGGGCAGTCCACACCACAGGAAGCAAAGGGAGCGGGCACTCCTTGGACAGACTTGCTCACAGACCTCATAGGTCTGTGAACAGCTTGCCTTCCTCCTCACCATCCTCCGTTCCTTTGGTGACATGAGCAGAATCTAGACCATGGAAAGTACATGACCATTTGTAAACTCACAATGTGTTGCTTTTCTATACTATGTAACAAATTACCACAAACTTTGAGGCTTAAAGCAATGCCCGTTCATTATCTTACAATTCTGTAAGAATGCCTGGTTTATCTGCTCGAGGTCTCACAAGGAAATGCAGGTGTCAGCAAGATGTGTCCTCATCTGAAGCTCAAAGTTCTTTTAAGTTCATTCTGGTTGTTGATAAAATTCGGGTTGCTTTCAGTCTTTTGCCATATGACCCTACCATTTTCAAAAGCAGCACGAAGAAACTCTCTTGCATCCAATATCTCCCTTACCTCAAATACCTGACATTTCTGTTTCTGATTGCTAAAGCCAGATTTTAAAGGTTCGTGGATTAGGTCAGGCTCACCCAAAAAAAATCTATCTCAAAGGTCAATTGATTTGGGGCCTTAGTTACAGTTTCAAAATCCTCTATAGCAACACCTAGATTGGTGTTTGATTGAATAATTGGGAGAATGTATGTACAGGTACATTAGAGGCCAGAAATTTTTAGAATTCTGGTCTATCTTAGAATTCTGCCTATCATAAGCAGGATATATGACTACTTGGCTGAACAGGTAAAATTTAAAAATAAAACAAAGATTTCCAAATGCCTGCCAGTGCTGGTCCTGTTTGTTTCCATTACTGGCTGTCCAAAGACAGAAGTAGGGCCAAAAGGGACAGTGTGAGGTATTTATAAACCAAGCTGAAGCAGGCATACAGCTGTTCTCTGTGCTGCTGCAGCAGAACTACGAACTGTCCATATTTTCGAATAGTCTGAGGCTCAAAAGAATTAGAAAGCAGCAGCTATGAATTAGAGACTAGCTTGGAAAGTAAACTGCAATTTTGTGGTCAAGGGCAAGTTTCCTACACCACAGAAAGATGACACTGCAGTGCCAGGAAACAGCTGAAGAAATGGCTTAGCAACTGCCCTGAGGCAGACCTTATGAATGACAGTGACACAGCACTCTGTTAAGCATAGTTTTGGGCAGGAAGTCGGGTCAAATCAATATGCAGTACTTTGTACCACTCAATTACCGCAAAATACTACTATCCTCCTTTCAAAAACATTTTAGATTGAAGGCTGAGCTGGGGAGTTGATGTAAAATCTTTTATGGAAAGATTGGGTAGGTAGGAATTGAAAAGCTAAGAGGCACCAAGTATCCCTTTAGGGGGCCTATTTGATTTTCTTGGAATACCAAAAAGTCATCAGAGAAAAATGCCTTTCATAAACTAAATTTATCTTGACAATAAAGACATCTATTTTTAGCAATAGTCTATTCAACGTCCATTTTTTTTATAGCCATGAAGTACCTACTTTAACCTTCAGATCTGAAATCAAGATTTTCTGAATGTAATAATTATATAAGCCAAAGATTTTAGTAAACCAAGTTTCTACCCAAAGCATCTTTTACAGCCTGCAATGAATGTCTGGAGTGAAACTGCCTTTGCAAAATTAGAACAGTAAGAGAAATCTGACATAGTTGACGCCATCTTGCTTCTGACCTCCAAGCTGTCCTTTGTCATTTCTGGGAACAGGCAAAGCTAACTTTGGGAGGAATTTAGTTTATAGTTTAACATTAAAGCAAGGATGATAATAACCTTTCCCAAAACGAAACTGCTTCTGAAAACTAATGAAAAGCCATGAGGTTAGGGTTATCAGAGGGGCCTGAGATAACCGGACATTGTCTGGGAGATCATAAGGTTTCTAAATTTCCCAATCACTCCTGTAGGAAGCATTACTACTACAGAACCTAAGGTTGGTCTTTTGAGAGATCCTTTCAGATGTTTGCATTTCTGACAACTGGCTGACTCAACCGGTCCTGTGGCCCCCACCCAAAGGCTGACTCAGAGCAGGAGGACCATATTCCACATCCCTATGATTCCATCCTCAACCAATCAACATTCCTCATTCCCTAGCCCCCTGCCCACAAAACTATCCTTGTAAAACCCTAATCTCCAAGCCTTCAGGGAGACTGATTTGAGTAATAACTCTATCTCCTGTGTGGCTGGCCTCATGTTAGTAAAACTCTTTATTGCAATACCATGGTCTCAGTGAACTGGTTTTGTCTGTATAGCAGGCAGGAAGAATCCATCAGGTAATTATAGGAGTTGCTATGGAAACAGAAAAACATTTAACAGCACTGGCATAAAAATGGGGTCGGGGGGGGAGTGGAGAATGGGAGGGGAGCCAGTGGTGTCTAGATTGCCCCATGGGATTGTTACAAGGAGAGAAGAGGAGAGAAAGGGGGAAAAGAAAAGAGGGGGAGGGAAAGGGAGGAAGGGCAGAGAGAATACAGGTAGGCTTAAAGAATAAATTTAAACAAAAAGTCTGAAAACAAAGAAAGCTAATTTGATCTGTTTATTGTGAAACAAATTCTACAGGAGAGTAGGAATGATCAGGGTAATGACAGGAGTCAGCACTGGGGTCAAGAAAGAAGCAAGGGAAATTCTAGATGCACCCTTCCTGAAGGGCCTGATACTTTTTAGAAGATGCCATGAGTTAGAAAGACTCTAACTCCATTTTTGATATTCAACTGTTGATAGTTTTCAAGCCCCAATGATGCCCCTTTACCTTTAGCCCCAAACCTGGGCAAGCCAATCAAAAAGCCCTTCTCTCTCGGAGCTAGTGAGAAGTTCCAATCATGCAAACCCACTCCAGCCTTGCTCCCCAACCGCAATAAAAACCAATTGCTGGCAAGATGGCCGAACAGGAACAGCTCCAGTCTGCGGCTCCCAGCGAGATGGATGCAGAAGGCGGGTGACTTCTACATTTCCAACTGGGACTGGTTAGACAGTGGGTACAGCCCACGGAGGGCGAGCCGAAGCAGGGTGGGGCATCACCTCATCTGTGAAGCACAAGGGGTCAGGGAATTTTCTCTTCTACCCAAAGGAAGCTGTCAGGGACTGAACCTGAGGAACTCTGGCACAGATACTGCGCTTGTCCCATGGTCTCTGCAAGCTGCAAACCAGGAGATTCCCTCCGGTGCCTACCCCACCAGGGCCCTGGGTTTCAAGCACAAAACTGGGCGGCCGTTTGGGCAGTCACCGAACTAACTTCATGAGTTCTTTTTTTTCCATACCCCATTGGCACCTGGAACACCAGCAAGACAGAACCATTCACTCCCCTGGAAAGGGGTGCTGAAGCCAGGGACCCAAGTGGCCTGGCTCAGTGGGTCCCACCCCCATGGAGCCCAGCAAACTAAGATTCACTGGCTTGAAGTTCTCGCTGCCAGCACAGAAGCAGTCTGAGGTCAACCTGTGACAATGGAGCTTGGTGGGGGGAGGGGCGTCCGCCATTGCTAAGGCTTGAGTAGGTGGTTTTACAATCACAGTGTAAACAAAGTCACAAGTCACGGGGAAGTTCGAACTGGGCAGAGCCCACTGCAGCTCAGCACGGCCGCTGTGGCCAGACTGCCAGATTTCTCTTCTCTGGGCAGGGCATCTCTGAAAAAAAGGCAGCAGCCCCAGTCAGGGACTTATAGATAAATCCCCAGCTCCCTGGGACAGAGCACCTGGGGAAAGGGGCAGCTGTGGCCGAAGCTTCAGCAGACTTAAACATCCCTGCCTGGCAGCTCTGAAGAGAGCAGTGGACCTCCCAGCACAGCGTTCGAGCTCTGCTGAAGGTCAGACTGCCTCCTCAAGTGGGTCCCTGACCGCCGTGTATCCTCACTGGGAGAAAACTCCCAGTAGGGGCCAACAGACACCTCATACAGGAGAGCTCTAGCTGGCATTTGGCAGGTGCCCCTCTGGGAAGAAGCTTCCAGAGGAATGATCAGGCAGCAATCTTTGCTGTTCTGCAGCCTCCGCTGCTGATACCAAGGCAAACAGCGTCGGGAGTGGACCTCCAGCAAACTCCAGCAGACCAGCAGCAGAGGAGCCTGTCAGAAGGAAAACTAACAGAAAGGAATAGCACGTCCACTCAAAGATGCCATCCAAAGGTCACCAACATCAAAGACCAAAGGTAGATAAATCCAAAGATGGGGATAAACCAGCACAAAAAGGCTGAAAATTCCAAAAATCAGAAGGTCTCTTCTCCTCCAAAGATCACAACTCCTCGCCAGCAAGGGAACAAAACTGGATGGAGAATGAGTTTGACGAACTGACAGAAGTAGGTTTCAGAAGGTGGGTAATAACAAACTCCTCCAAGCTAAAGAAGTATGTTCTAATCCAATGCAAGGAAGCCAAGAACTTTGAAAAAAAGGTTAGACAAATTGTTAACTAGAATAACCAGTGTAGAGAAGAACATAAATGACCCGATGGAGCTGAAAAATACAGCACGAGAACTTTGTGAAGCATACACAAGTTTCAACAGCCGAATTGGTCAAGTGGAAGAAAGGATATCAGTGATTGAAGATCAACTTAATGAAATAAAGAGCAAAGACAAGATTAGAGAAAAAGGAATAAAAAGGAATGAACAAAGCCTCCAAGAAATATGGGACTATGTGAAAAGACCAAATCTACGTTTGATTGGTGTACCTGAAAGTGACAAGGAGAATGGAACCAAGCTAGAAAACACTCTTCAGGATATTATCCAGGAGAACTTCTCCAATCTAGCAAGACAGGCCAACATTCAAATTCAGGAAATACAGAGAACAGCACAACAACACTCCTCGAGAAGAGCAACCCTAAGACACATAATCGTCAGATTCACCAAGGTTGAAATGAAGGAAAAAATGTTAAGCGCAGCCAGAGAGAAAGGTTGGGTTACCCACAAAGGGAAGCCCATCAGACTAACAGCGGATCTCTCTGCAGAAACTCTACTAGCCAGAAGAGAGTGAGGCCCAATATTCAACATCCTTAAAGAAAAGAATTTTCAACCCAGAATTTCATATCCAGCCAAACTAAGCTTCATAAGTGAAGGAGAAATAAAATCCTTTACAGACAAGCAAATGCTGAGATATTCTGTCACCACCAGGCCTGCCTTACAAGAGCTCCTGAAGGAAGCACTAAATATGGACAGGAACAACCAGTAGCATCCACTGTAAAAATATACTAAATTGTAAAGAACATCAACACTATGAAGAAACTGCAACTAACAGGCAAACAACCAGCTAGCATCATAATAACAGGATCAAATTTACACATAACAATATTAAACTTAAATGTAAATGGGCTAAATGCCCCAATTAAAGACACAGACTGGCAAACTGAAAAAAGAGTCAAGACCCATCAGTGTGCTGTACTCAGGAGACTCATCTCACATGCAAGGCACACAGGCTCAAAATAAATGGATGGAGGAATATTTACCAAGCAAATGGAAATGAAAAAAAGCAGGAGTTGCAATCCTAATCTCTGATAAAACAGACTTTAAACCAACAAAGATCAAAAGAGACAAAGAAGGGCATTATATAATGGTAAAGGGATCAATGCAACAAGAAGAGCTAACTATCCTAAATATATATGCACCCAATACAGAAGCACCCAGATTCATAAAGCAAGTTCTTAGAGACCTACAAAGAGACTTAAACTCCCACACAATCTAATAGTGGGAGATTTTAACACCCTATTGTCCGTATTAGACAGATCAACAAGACAGAAAATTAACAAGGATATTCAGGACCTGAACTCAGCTCTGGACCAAGCAAACCTAATAGACATCTACAGAACTCTCCACCCCTAATCAACAGAATATATATTCTTCTCAGCACCACATCACACTTATTCTAAAATTGACCACATAATTGGAAGGAAAACACTCCTCAACATATGCAAGATAACAGAAATCATAACAAACAGTTTCTCAGATCACAGTGCAATCAAATTCGAACTCAGGATTAAGAAACTCACTTAAAACTGCACAACTACATGGAAGTTGAACAACCTGCTCCTGAATGGCTACTGGGTAAATAATGAAATGAAGGCAGAAAAAAGATGTTCTTTGAAACCAATGAGAATGAAGACACAATGTACCAGAATCTCTGGGACACATTCAAAGCACTGTGTAGAGGGAAGTTTACACCACTAAATGCTCATCAGAGAAAGCAGGAAAGATCTAAAATCGAAAACATAACTTCAAAATTAGAAGAACTAGAGAAGCAACAGCAAAAAAATTCAAAATCTAGCAGAAGACAAGAAATAACTAAGATCAGGGCAGAACTGAAGGAGATAGAGACACAAAAAACCCTTCAAAAAAATCAATGAATCCAGGAGCTGTGTTTTTGAAAAGGTCAACAAAATAGATAGACCACTAGCCAGACTAATAGAGAAGAATCAAATAGATGCAATAAAAAATGATATAGGGGATATCACCACTTATCCAACAGAAATACAAGCTACCATCAGAGAATACTATAAACACCTCTATGCAAATAAACTACAAAATCTAGAAGAAATGGATAAATTCCTGGACACATACACCCTCTCAAGACTAAACCAGGAAAAAGTCGAATCCCTGAATAGACCAATAACAAGTTCTGAAATTGAGGCAGTAATTAATAGCCTACCAACCGAAAAAGTCCAGGACCAGACAGATTCACAGCCAAATTCTATCAGAGGTACAAAGAGGAGCTGGTACCATTCCTTCTGAAACTATTCCAAACAACAGAAAAAGAGGGAATCCTCCCTAACTCATTTTATAAGGCCAGCATCATCCTGATCCAAAACCTGGCAGAGACATAACAAAAAAAGAAAATTTCAGGCCAATATCCCTGATGAACACTGGTGCAAAAATCCTCAATAAAATACCGGCAAACTGAATAGCACATCAAAAAGCTTATCCACCACGATCAAGTTGTCTTTATCCCTGGGGTGGAAAGGCTGGTTCAACATAAGCAAACCAATAAAGGTAATCCATCACATAAACAGAACCAATGACAAAAGCCACAGGATTATCTCAATAGATGCAGAAAAGGCCTTCAACAAAATTCAACACTCCTTCATGCTAAAAACTGTCAATAAACTAGGTATTGATGGAACATATCTCAAAATAATAAAAGCTATTTATGACAAACCCATAGCCAATACCATACTGAGTGGGCAAAAACTGGAAGCATTCCCTTTGAAAACTGGCACCAGACAAGGATGCCCTGTCTCATCACCCCTATTCAACATAGTATTGGAAGTTCTGGCCAGGGCAATCAGGCAAGAGAAAGAAATAACGGGTATTCAAATAGAAAAGGAGGAAGTCAAATTGTATCTGTTTGCAGATGAAATGATGATACGTTTAGAAAACCCCATCGACTCAGCCCAAAATCTCCTTAAGCTGCTGATAAGCAACTTCAGCAAAGTCTCAGGATACAAAATCAATGTGCAAAACTCAGAAGCATTCCTATACACCACTAACAGACAAACAGAGAGCCAAATCATGAGTAACTCCCATTCACAATTGCTACGAAGAGAACAAAATACCTAGGAATCCAACTAACAAGGGATGTGAAGGACCTCTTCAAGGAGAACTACAAACCACTGCTCAAGGAAATTAAGAGAGGACACAAACAAATGGAAAAACATTCCATGCTCATGGATAGGAAGAATCAATATCATGAAAATGGCCATACTGCCCAAAGTAATTTATAGATTCACTGCTATCCCCAACAAGCTACCACTAACTTTCTTCATAGAATTGGAAAAAACTACTTTAAACTTCATATGGAACCAAAAAAGAACCCGTATTGCCAAGACAATCCTGGGCAAGAAGAACAAAGCTAAAGGCATCACACTATGTGACTTCAAACTATGCTACAAGGCTACAGTAACGAAAACAGTATGGTACTGGTACCAAAACAGATATATAGACCAACGGAACAGAAGAAAGGCCTCAGAAACAACACCACACATCTACAACCATCTGATGTTTGACAAACCTGACACAAACAAGCAATGCAGAAAAGATTCCCTATTTAATAAATGGTGTTGGGAAAACTGGCTAGCCATATGCAGAAAACTGAAACTGGACCGCTTCCTTGTACCTTATACAAAAATAAACTCAAGATGGATCAAAGACTTAAACATATGACCTAGGACCATAAAAATCCTAGAAGAAAACCTGGGGAATACCAATCAGGACATAGGCATGGGCAAAGACTTCATGACTAAAACACCAAAAGCAATGGCAACAAAAGCCAAAATTGACACATGGGATCTAATTAAACCAAAGAGCTTCTGCACAGCAAAAGAAACTATCATCAGAGTGAACAGGCAGCCTACAGAATGGGAGAAAAGTTTTGCAATCTATCCATCTGACAAAGGGCTAACATCCAGAATCTACAAGGAACTTAAACAAATTTACAAGAAAATAAGATCCCATTAAAAAGTGGGCAAAGGATAGGAACAGACACTTCAAGAGAAGACATTTATGCAGCCAACAAACATATGAAAAAATGCTCATCATCACTGGTCATTAGAGAAATGCAAATCAAAACCACAATGAGATACCATCTCACACCAGTTAGAATGGCGATCATTAAAAAGTCAGGAAACAACAGATGCTGGACAGGATGTGGAGAAACAGGAACGCTTTTACACTGTTGGTGGGCAGGTAAATTAGTTCAACCATTGTAGAATACAGTGTGGTGATTCCTCAAGGATCTAGAACTAGAAATACCATTTGACCCAGCAATCTCATTACTGGGTATATACCCAAAGGACTATAAATCATTCTACTATAAAGACACATGCACACGTATGTTTACTGTGGCACTATTCACAATAGCAAAGACTTGGAAGCAACTCATATGTCCATCAATAGGCTGGATAAAGAAAATGTGGCACACATACAACATGGAATACTATGCAGCCATAAAAAAGGATGAGTTCATGCCCTTTGCAGGGACATGGATGAAGCTGGAAATCATCATTCTCAGCAAACTACCACAAGAGCAGAAAACCAAACACTGCATGTTCTTACTCGTAAGTGGGAGTTGAACAATGAGAACACATGGACATAGAGGGGGGAACATCATACACCAGGGCCTGTCAGGGGCTGGGGGGCTAGAGGAGGGATAACATTAGGAGAAGTACCTAACGTAGGTGATGGGTTGATGCATGCAGCAAACTACCATGGCACATGTGTACCTATGTAACAAAACTGCACGTTCTGCACATATACCCCAGAACTTAAAGTATAATAATTAAAAAATAATAATAATGAGCAAACAAACAAAAAAACCAATCTAGTCCTTCTCTGCTCTCTCCAGCCCTTTCTCACATCTGCCTACCATGGTCATCCCCTAGAATCTTCATTCGGTGAGTACAATAAACTTTTTCATTCTGCTGGTGTCTGTGCATATGTGACATCAACAGTCTTGATATCTGAACCAAATTTTGGGTGGGGCTCCATCTCATCTCAGCAGGATTAACACCACCCTGGAAGCAGAGAGAAGGCAGTTTCCACCCCTGCTAGTTAGACTGGGGAAAGGCTTGCTTTACAACAGAGCTTCCCAGTGGAGTGAAGACACAGAATGCAAGGCTGAAGAGCAGTCAGCGAATTTCTTCCCACTGCTGTAGGGAAAGGATACCGGCAGTGAGAGAGAATAAGCCAATACATAGACAGGCAGAAATAAGAGACAGAAGACTCCTGGTGGTGTTAGAGCAAGTGAATGCTGTTGTTCCCAGGTGCCAGCTGCATCTCTGACTTTCCTGCAGATATATTATGGTCCTCAGTATTCCAATATATTATCATTTTTGCCTCAGTTAATTTCAGGTTTCTGTCACTTACAACCAAATAACTACAGCCTTGACCAAAACAGAGGGAGATTAAAAGCACTCCATAATTACTATTAATTTTCTCACAATGTCAATAATGGTACTGTAGTTATGCAGAATGTCCTTATACAGTTGACTCTTGAACAATATGGGTTTGAACTATGAGGGTCCACACGGATTTTCTTCCGCCTCTGCCACCTGTGACAGCAAGACTATCACTTCCTCCTCAGCCTACTCAATGTGAAGATGAGGTGAAGACCTTTACGATGATCCACCTCCACTTAATGAATGAGAATTTCCTTACTGTCTTCTTAACATTTTTTTTTAGCTTCCTTTATGGTAAAAATACAGTACATATAATGCCTATTACATACAAAATACATGTTAACTGACTGCTTATATTATCAGTAAGGCTTCTGGTCAAAAGTAGGCTATTAGTAGTTAAGTTTTTGGGGAGTCAAAAGTTACATGTGAATTTTCAACTACGCAGTGTGGTGGGGAGTCCGTGCCCCTAACCTGCCATGTTGTTAAAGGATCAACTGTATGGCAGTGTGTGCTCAAGAATTAGGAATGAAAGGTCATGAGGTCTGCTGCTTTCAAATGATTCAAAAACAGAAGTATAAATATGCAAAAATGGCAATAATCCCTGAGTTTATGTTAAAAGTACATTCATTATTTGTTCTTTCTACTTTCCTATATGTATGAAAACTTCCATAAAAAACTATCTTTAGAGGGGAGACTCAAGGTATGAATAACACGCCCAGCCCTTATGAAGATCAGTGCTTTCAGGAAATGACATGTAGTTCTCCCCAGGTGTGGAGGACATATAAGGAAGGTAAAAAGGCAGGTTTTATAATGAATTTAGCATTTATCCTGAAGGCAAATAGGAAACCATTAAAGGAATTTTGGGGGAGGGGAAGTGGGAAAAACGACATGATCAGATTTTGATGTGAAAAACATTTCCCTGTTGACAGCATGAATCCTGACTAGAAAGTGGCAGGCATATGGTAACAGTCCAGATGAGAAATGATGTGGACCTGAGTTAAGAGGAGAGGGGTAAGTAGTGAGGATTAGAGCAGAACAGACATGAAAAATTCATAGGATTCCTTCCTGGAATGGATTTGACAGGAAGGGGATGGAGTGCTGTGAGGGAAAGGGAGGAATCCAGGAAGCCTGAATATTCTGGCTTTGGTGACTGTGGTACCGTTCATGGACTGGAGATACAGAAGAGCAAGACATGGTGAGTTTAGTGTGGTGTTGGAGACACATGGTAAGTGAGGGGGGATGACAGAGATTGGGAGATTACAGGCATATGTCAAAGGCATGGAAGAGCCCACCCAGTAAGAAAGCGCAGAGTTGGTTGAAATGAGGTGAAGAAAGAAATGCAGCCGCACACAACCACAATTTGGGGATACACAGAGGAACATAAACCCTTGAAAGATAATTTTAAAAATAGCCTCAGGCACAGGAGGAAAACATGGACAATGGTTCACAAGGGTATAGGCAGGGAAAGATCTGAGAGGGAGGAAGAAGTCAGTGGTGCCAGGTGCCATGCACTCTCCAACAGATCAAAGTGTCACCAAACAAAAAGACCTAAAGTAGGGCAGTTCCAGGGTTAATTTAGCAGTTCGACAACATTATGAAAGACGCAGGTTCTTTCCATCTTTCCACTCTGTTAGACCAGTTGCCTTTCATGACTGCATGGCATCAGTCCTCCGGCTAGAACCCCTCACTGATTGCAAGATGATTGCCGCAGTATCCTAGGCACTGCATGCAGACAGTATCTGGCATAGAAGATGGGCGTTTCTTTCTTGCGACTCTTTTTTTTTTTTTTGAGACAGGGTCTGGCTCTGTTGCCCAGGCTGGAGTGCACTGTTGTGATCTCAGCTCACTGCAACCTCTGCCTCCTGAATAGCTGGGACTACAGGTGCACACCACCATGCCCAGCTACTTTTTAAAATTTTTTGTAGGGATTGGGTTTCACTATGTTGCCCAGGCTGGTCTCAAACTCTTGAGCTCAAGCAATCCTCCCACCTCGGCCTCCCATAGGGTTGCGATTACAGGCGTGAGCCACAGCATCTGGCTGTGACTCTTTTTAGAGTAAAAAAAACAATCCTTCCCCAGAAACACCTCAGTTGACCTGCCCTCCTGTTACAGAGTAAAACTGGGTCACACTCACCCTTGAACAGACCACAAGCAATAATAATGGAATTATTACAACTGACTTATCAAGATTTACCCCTGAGCTAGGGACAGGGTGCCAGGCCTAAAGGCTGGATAACTGCAAAAAAAAAAAAAAAAGGGGGGGGGGCGGGGGAGGTAGATGTTGAATAGGTAGCTAACAGGTATTAAGAGGGGCCATTCTGTATTACAGTATTCTAATCTTTTTTCACTTAATAACATTCATGTTAAAAAGAGCAGTGATTTGTGGGGGCAAAAATAAATGCAGTTAATGCAGGAAAAAACTTGAATCAACAAGTTGTATGCTTCTGAGAGTGGAAAAAACATACAATAACTTTAAAAGAGGATCTATTCTAAAATATCTGTTTTCCTTTAGCAGTCACTTTCTGAAGACATTGATAATTTACTTTCTGCAGTGAAAATGTACAAATTTCATTTTCTTTGTCCCAAGACTACTTTCAAGTTTCACAAAAAGAACCTTACCTTAAAATTACTAAGCAAATTCTTTCAACCATATCTCTCTTCATTTTCTAGAGTCAGAAGTTCAAAATTTAGGAACCTCTTTGTTTGTATCTATGGGGTAGCTTTGTGATATCAACTTGACTTGAACTAAAGTCCCCAGAACTCCCTTTCTAGTATGTTTCTGGTTAGGGTGAGTTAAAAGTAATATTATCTCCTTAGAGACAGAAGAGAAAAGTGAGACAGCAGCTATTTTGTAGCATAATATACCTTTTCCCAGTTATTCAAACACTAACCTAAGTGCTGCTGGGAGAGATTTTGCCAACATAATTAAAGTCCCTAATAGGCTGATTTCAAGTTAATAAAAACGATTATTCTAGGTGAGTCTGTGACTTTGTCACTGGGAAGCACTTTCAAAGAAAGCTTAGGCCCTGTCTGAGCCAAGAGGCTTCAAACAGCAGCTAGACCTGCAATTTCTCTCCTCTCCTCAGGATCTTCCCTGGATACTTATCTGTGGACAAGAAACTTCAGTCTGTGCCCTTGGGGTTCCAGCCCGCTATCCTCCCTTACTGACTCCCTGGCCCTGTGGGCTTTGAGCTTGCTTAACCAGCTCTCTCAAATGCATAAGCCAATTCCTTATTATAAACCCATGTGCGTGTATATATACATATACATTCATTTAAAATCTGACTGGTTCTGCCTCTGATTGAACCCTTACACATGTTGGTTCACACCTGCCTGCAACCCCTACTTCTACAGATCCACTTCTACACTTGCGAGATATAACAAACTCCGCTCAGTGTTCTCTGACTTGATCCAGAAAGTTTTAAATAATAGTAGAATGGTGGCTCAGTCCTTTTGGACTGCTATAGCACAATAAATGACAAATTTATTTTTCATAGATCTAGAGGCTGGGAAATCTGAGATCGGGGTGTCGGCATGGTTGGGTTCTGGTGTGGAGCCTTCTTTCTGGGTCACAGGTGACACCTTCTAGCTGGGTCCTCACATGGCAGAAAGGGGACAGTAGCTCTATGGGGCCTCTCTTGTAAGGTCACTAATCCCATTTGTGAGATTAGGTCTGCGCTCCTGACCTAAACACCTCCTAAAGCTCCACCTCTGAACACAATCACATCAGAGATTAGGTTTCAATGTATGAATTTTGGGAGGACACATTCAGACTATAGCGAAGTTTGTTTGTCTGTTTCCACTATTTTGGAGCAGCATGTAAATCCGCTGCTTTGGGGAACAGTCTTATATAACTATACTCCTTTGCTATGCTTCAAATAAATTTTCTTTACTGTGTCAACTGACCCTTGCTTGTACTGGAGTTCATCTACCCATTCACACTTCTTCCACAAATCTTCCACAATTTCTCTCAGCTCATGAGATTTCAGGTTCTCTATGACTAGTAACAGTCTCTATGAGAAATCCCATTTATTTCCTCACTTGTCATAGACTGATTCTTTTATTTCTTTAAGTTGCTCCTTGTTCATGACACCGAACTGTTCTCTAGGCTAAAGGTTAATTAAAATCTTTAATATTCTGTATATCCTTCCATTAGGACTCTCTCTTGAGGAAAGGAAATAGTCATGGTTGTGTTTAAATCATCAGTTTCAGCACTGATCACAAAATAAAAAGTTTAAAACAATTAAAAATAAGTGAATTTAACAAATATAATATACCCATAAATTTTGATGTTCTTTATTATAAAATAACAGAAAATTCAATGGAATTTTTTGAAGTATGCACAATATATTGTTATAAAAATGGTATATTGAGATAATATGGTTAGATTTTTGTAACTCAACAAATAAATACAGATGTTCCCCACTTTTTGTAGGTATTTTTAGTCTCAATTTCATTCATTTTGATTTTGATCTTACTTATTTCCTTCCACTAATTTTGAGGCTTTGATTTGTTCTTTTCTAGTTCTTTAAGATGCATCATTAGGTTGTTTATTTGAAATCTTTCTAGTTTTTTGATGTAGGATTTATTGTTATATAAATTTGCCTCTTAATATTGCTTTTGCTGTGCCCCATAGGTTTTGGTATATTGTATTTCTATTTTCATTTGTCTCAAGAAATATTTTAGTTTACCATTTAATTTCTTCCTTCACCCATTGGTCATTCAGGAACATGTTGTTTGATTTTCACGTATTTGTAGTTTTGAATGTTCCTCTTGTTATCGATTTCTAGTTTTAAATTCCATTGTGGTCAGATAAGATAGTTGATAAAATTAATTTAAAAAAATTTTTTTGAGATTCATTTTGTGTCCTAACATACGATCAATCCTGAAGAATGCTTCATGTGTTGACGAAAGAAATGGTATTCTGCAGCTTTTTGGTGAAATGTTCTGTAAATGTCTGTTAGGTCCATTTAGTTGATGGTGTAGTTTAAATCCAATGCTTCTTTGTTGATTTTCTGTCTAGATGACCTGTCCAATGCTGAGAGTGGACTGCTGAAATCCCCAACTCTATTATTGTACTGGGGTCTATCTCTCCCTTTAGATCTAATAGTTGCTTTTTATATCTGGGTGCTCTAGTGCTAGGTGCATATATATTTCCAACTGTTATATTTTCTTGCTTAACTGATCCCTTTATCTCATAATGTCCTTCTTTGTTGCTTTTTATAGCTTTTTACTTGATGTCTGTTTGGCCTTATGTAAGTAATGCTACTCCTGCTGGCTTTTGGTTTCCATTTGGATGAAGTATCTTTTTCTTTCCCTTCACTCTCAGTCTGTATGACTTTACAGATGAGGTGAGTTTCTTACAGGCAGTATATAGTTGGGGTTTATCCATTCAGCCAGTTTATATCTTTTAGATGGGGGAACTGAACCCATTTACATTCAAGGTTATTGATAGGTAAAGACTTGTTCCTGTCATATTGTTCTCTGGATGTTTTATCTTTTGTTCTGTACTTCTTTTCTTATGGTTTTTCTGTGCTTGGGTGGTTTTCCACATTGATACGGTTTGATTCTTTTTCCTTTCTTTGTATTTGGGCTCTACCAGTGAATTTTATAGTTTCACATGTTTTCATAATGGTGGTTATGTTTTCATTTCCAGATATAAGAGTCCCTTAAGCATTTCTTGTAAGGCCAGTCTAGCAGTGATGAATTCCCTTCATTTCTCCTTGTTTGTGAAAGATTTTTTTTTTTGAGACGGAGTCTCGCTCTGTCACCCAGCCTGGAGGGCAGTGGCGCGATCTCCGCTCACTGCAAGCTCCGCTTCCCGGTCCATTCTCCTGCCTCAGCCTCCCGAGTAGCTGGGACTACAGGCGCCCGCCACCACGCCCAGCTAATTTTTTTTTGTATTTTTAGTAGAGACGGGGTTTCACCATGTTAGCCAGGATGGTCTTGATCTCCTGACCTTGTGATCCGCCCGCCTCCCAAAGTGCTGGGATTACAGGCGTGAGCCACCGCGCCCGGCCGTTTGTGAAAGATTTTAATTCTTTTTTATTTCTGAAATGTAGCTTTGCAGGGTATATAGTGTTCTTGGCTCACAGGTCCCCCACCCCCACTTTGAGTATTTTTAATATATCATTTCATTCTTTCCTGGCCTGTAAGTTTTCTGCTGAGAAATCTGCTGTTAGTTTAATGGGAATTCCCTTATATGTGACTTGACACTTTTCTCTTGCTACTTTTAGAATTCTTTGCCTTTAACATCTGATAATTTGACTATAATGTGCCTCAGAGATAACCTGTTTGGGCTGACTCTAATTGGAATTCTTTGAGTTTACTGGACCTGGATGTCCATCTCAAATTTCAAGACTTGGGAAGTTTTCAGCTACTATTTCATTAAGTATGTTTTCTAAGCCTTTCTCCTTTCTCTTCTCCTTCTGGAATGACCATAATATATTTGTTCACTTCATGGTATACAATACATCCTGTAGGCTTTCTTCACCCTTTTTTCTTTTTTTGTCTGCCTGTGTCATTTCAAAAGATCTGTCTTCAAGTTCAGAAATTCTTTCTTCTGCTTGGTTTAGTCTATTGTTGAAGCTCTTGACTGTATTTTTTATTTCACTCATTGAATTCTTCAGCTCTAGGATTTCTGTTTGGTTCTTTGTTATGTTACCTGTCTCTTTGTTGAATTTCTTATTCAAATCATGAATTGTTTTCTTGATTTTGCTGAACTGTAAGTTTTCCTGTATCTCACTGAGATTCTTTAAGATTATTTTGAATTCTTTCTCTAGCATTTAGTATATTTTCTTATGATTGGGGTCTGTTACTGAAGAATTATTGTTTTCCTTTGGAGGCGTCATGTTTCCTTGCTTTTTTGTGTTTGATGTGTCCCCATGTTGATTTCTATACATCTGGTAGAAAAGTCATTTCTTCCAATTTTATGGAGTACATTTCACAGGGAAAGACTTATTCTTATAAATGGGTCTTGGAGTGTCAGATTGGTGGGGTGCATTGGCTTTGGTGCATCTGTGTCTAGGTGGGCACTGTAGTGTAGTCTCTGGGTACTTTCCTCAGCTGTCAGTCACACTTGACGTCTGCAAGTATCTCAGTAGCCTAGGCTGAGAGAGTCTGTGGTGGTAGTGGTGCAGCTTTGTTGAGGGTGGGCTCACAAGGCTGTTTCTCAGGTCAGGGATGTGTGCATCCACACAGTGGGTCAGGCAGCTTGGAATCTGGCCAACTTAGGGTCTGGCTCTAAAACGCAGGGCTGTTACTCTGGACAGCAGCACAAGCACGTGTTTAGTTGGATGGTGTGGGTGTATGCCTGCCAGGAGTAGCCCAAAGGGCTGTTTCTCAGGCCTAGCTATCTGTGAAACTGCTTTGTGACGTGTGGATTTATGTCACAGAGTTAAAACTTTCTTTTGACTCAGCAAGATGAAAAAACTCTTTTTGGAGAATCTGAGAAGGGACATATAGGAGCCCGCTGAGGCTGCTCAGCTGAACTGGGAGTTATGTTTGCCAGGGATGGCCCGCAGGGCTGTTTTTCAGGCGTGGGATGCAGTCTCATGGCTTCTCAGATGGCTTGGGTGTCTGTTGGCTTGGGGTGACCCATGGGGCTGTTTCTCAGGGTGGGGGTGCAGACACATGGGTGTTTAGTTGGCCTTGAAGTGTGTCTGCCCTATGGGGCTGTTTCTCAGGTCCAAGACACAGTTGCAAGTCTGCTCAGCTGGCCCGAGGATGTGTCTGCCAGGGGCAGCCTATACAGCTGCTTCTCAGGTCCATGATGTGAGCACAAAGCTGCTTGGCTAGCCTGGGGACATGTTTGCTAGTGGCGACCCACAGGGCTATTTCTTAGGCCTGACACAGGCACAGAGATGCTCAGCTGGTCTGGAGGTGTGTCTGCCGGTGGTTGCCCACAGGGCTGTTTTTCAGGCCCTGATTTCAGGTGCAGGGCCATTGGGCAGGCCAAGGAAATATCTTGGGGGTGCACTGTGGGGCTCTTTCTTAGGTGCTGAGTGCAGGTATGTAGCTGCTTTGCTGGCCCTTGGGTATATTAGCTGCTTAGAGGCCCGGGGGTCTCTCCTGCTTGGGGGAGGGTGTGCAGTGGTTTGCTTAGCTCATCAAGGCAGAGTTCTGTGAATGAACCATGTCTGTCTGTGCGTTTGCTTTTACCTGCCATTATGGGTTGGTGATAATACTATTTGGTGATATATAAGAGCTTGTCTATTAAAAGCACATATATTAAACAAATAGAATATATTTTATTCATAAGAAGATTTTTAAATAGTAAAAATAAAAATGAAGTGCTAATCAAAACAGCTAACTATAAGTTCTTTGCTGTTTCCAAAGAGTCTCTGAACCAGAGACTACAACAAGCGAGTATTTTTCAAGCTTTAAAAGTTAATATTACATGTTAGACTCCTAATAGATACTTACTTCCCATTTTCAAACTGCATTCAGTATCATTTGTTTTCCTGATGACTAGAACATGTAACTTTCCCACATAGATGTAACACAGGCAAAAGACAAGACAAATGCATGTAAAATACATTTAATAGTTTAATGGGAAAGTACAGTCCAAAAATTTTAAACTTACTGTTCATGGAAATCCAGCATTGGTGGCTCAAATCGTATGGGCCTGCAATTCCCCCGGTAGAGAGATATACTGTAAATAAAAAGAAAACAACATAAGAAGCAATTCTTCAAAATATATGTTTCCCCAAACTCTATTCAGACAGCTGACTTTTGTCATAACAATGCCATTTTAAGAAAAATTGGGTCTAACAATCTATCAGAAATGTGCGTCACTTTTTAAATTAGCAGAAACCAATAAAGATTGCGTTTTAGAAAATGAAAAAGTGGGATTATTTTTCTTCTTCAAAGGTATATGCAAATAGAAAATGCTCAGGCAGACTGAATGTTGAAATTTATTTGGTTGGTATAATTGGTAACGATATACTTTAATAGGTCGCTTGGATTTTCTGATACATGTATGATGAATAAAGAGTTAATACAACTTACATACATTTAGCAGACAATATATGAAGACAAAAATCACAATCAGATTGTAACTAGAGTGGCAAAGGACTAAACAAAAATGAATTTGGGATACAAACTTCCAAGAATTGAAATATCTATTTCATCTGAGAGTTTGGAATACACTAGAACTGATCTCTGATGTCCTGGCCTCCATATTACAGTAGCATCTTCTAACTAACCCACCTGATACCAGAACTTCTCAATAGAACAGATTTCTGAATAGCAAACCTCAGACAACATCAGGGCCTAACGCTGATATAAAACATAAATGACTTTTGGTGGGGTAGGGGGAGTAGTGGTGGTGGTTCACATGCCTAAAGTGTCAGAAATTCAGTCAGAAAGTCAGAAATTCAGTCAGGCACTAAGTTTCAAAATAGTAGATTTTGATGTTTTTGTTCTAGGAAATGATGTCAGAGCAAAACCCATTTTGTGAGACTACTTTATTTCCATCATCACTGAAATTCATAGTAACGTAAGCTTTGAAATGATATAGTAATTTCATTCAGGATTAAGGAGTCAGAGGAAATATCCAGGATTTAGGAGATACAAGAAATAATTAGAAATAGACAAGGACATTCATAATATGGAGGAAATTTGGCTTTAATTCAATTCTATAAAGATTAAATAATCTGAGTAGTGGAATAATTTAGCTGAAGGTAATAAAATCCAAACATGTTTTTAGCCCTACCAATTTAGAACATTCTTTTGTGTAGCTTAAGAATCCCTCTGCATATGTTGAACAGAAAAGATGACAAACAAAAAAAGAAAGCAAGCACCAAAAGTAAGATTATATTTTACTAAAGCATGAAACTAAAGACACCGGGACATGAAGGCACAATTCCTTGCAACACAGTGTTGGCATCTATTCCTTCCTGCTTTCTGCCCTGTCTGTTTCTTAGATGTTATGTAACAAAAACATTCTTTGGCGCCTTTAAAACAAGAGATGCTCCTCAGCTCATTAGTTTCATTAGTATGAAACTCAAATTTACATAAATCTTAATCAAATCAAGGAAAAATAAAGTATAAGGCATAACTGTATGTCATTAATTCCTATATAATATTATATTCCTATATATAATATATATTCCTATAATGTAATATATATTCCTATATATAATATATAATTCCTATATATTAATTCCATGGACTGTTTAGATGTTGGAGAAAAAGGAAATTAAGATACAGTGTTTTTCTCTCACAGAGCCAAGAGGCTGTTCTGCAAATTACAAATGGAAATGTCTAAAGTGGCCAGGTGGGGTAAAAAAGTATATACCCCATCCATTCAATACAAATGTATGAATGTTTACTATATGCCAGTTACCGTCTATTGGCTGGGGCTACAGTGGGGAATAAAGAAAAGCACCTGCTCTCATGGCACTAACCTCCTAGTAGGGGGAACAAAAGTTGAATATGTTAGGTGAAAATGTGTGTATAAAGAAAAATCAAACACGGCGGGGCTGTGTTTAGAACCGAAAATGCCTCTCTGAGGAGGGACACTGCTGCCAAGACCTGAACGACAGAGATCTAGGGGAAGAAAGTAGTAATGTATTTGGCGAGTTGAACAAGGAGGCTGAAGTGACCACTGTGCAGTGAGGGAGGAGTAGGAGGTAGGAGCTGAGCTCAGAGGTACAAGAGCCAGGTCTCCTTGTAGGAGTATAGATTATTCAAAGTGTAACAAACTACAGTGTTTTTGAGCAAGGAGTAGCATGATCTGACACATATCATAAGGTTAATTCTGGCTACTTTGTGAAGTACCAAGGAAGTTCCTGTAGGAGCCCAACAGTGGGAAGCAGGGAAGTCCTGGAGTGCTCCAGGCAACTGGTGACGGCAGATACAATCTAGGGTGGCTGCAAGGGAGAGTAGCGAGCAGTGGCTGGTTTCTGAATATATTTGGAAGCTTGAGAAAACAGGTTGTGCTGATGGATTGATTTTGAGGGATCAAGGATAACTCATTCTAAGATTTTCACTGGATACACAGTCATGACATGGGAGGAGTGGGTTGGAAGTGGGAAGAGGTAGATTTTCAAGAGCATTGTTTTAGACATTTAAATTTAGATGTCTTATCTAGATGGAGATGTCATAAAGTAACTATACATGGATACTGTTCATATTAAAAAGTTACTAATTTTCACGTACTGATCTTATACCTAGTCACCTTGGTGAGTTTAATTCCAACAGTCTGTCTAGATTCTCTCATGATTTTCCACTGCTGCTATATGTGCTGCCAAAATGAGCACTATCTTGGATGATCACTGTAGACAAATCATCTGCAAGTAACAATTTGATTCTTCCTTTCAAATCCTTAGATAAGTTTTATTTTTTATGTCTTGTGCTAAGATCTCCTGTAAAATGCTTCAAAGATGTGATGTCCAGCAACTGTTACTGTGATATTTACAAAGTGCTCACAGAATGATATAGAAGAAACAGTACATCAAATATGATTCCCTCATAAATAAAAGCATATTTTCAAAACCATACCAGATCTATATCTAAGGAACAGTTTAATATCCGAGTGAGTACGATACAAGTTGACACAGGTACAATCCTATGTTAACCAAACCAAAAATGCAGTAACACAGCTGTCTCCACAGCTGATTCAAATGGTTCCTATCCACGTTTATTTAACATGGCACTGTTTAGTGCTTTATTAACAGAAAGCAAATGTCTGCAAATATGTAATATTGAAAAACAAACTAGGGAAGATGCAATATAAAGAGTGGTGGCCTTTGCTAATATCATTGCAGTTTTTTCCCTGATTTTTAAAATTATTATTATTACTATTTTTGAGAGACAGGGGTCTCGTTATGTTGCCCAAGCTGGTCTCAAACTCCTGTGTTAGAGCCTCCTGAGTAGCTGGGACTACAGATGCAGCATGCCAGTGTGCTGGGCTCACCCTTTGACAATTTCAAAGCAACAAAATCTGAGACATTATGATAGCATATTGCATTATTTTATGCTTTCTGCAATGATTACACATGTTCTGAAGTGTCAATACAATTGGTTTTATAAATTTTCACTAAAATCTTATTTATATGGAGATGAATGAAGACTATTTTCTGATTTCAAGCTAGGAAACAACTGAAGAGATACAAGAAATCTTGTGGGAAATGGTCATACTGCTTGTTGAACTGTCAGGTCAAAGTTGAGCAGGAAACTCCCAAATCAAACATATGGGCTTCTTGGGTCTCTGGGAGTTTAAAATGTTTTCCTAGGATCAACTACTACCTAAACAAAAGATACTCTTTGGCCCAGCATTTTTAAAACAATTGTTTGTGATGTATTTGCATCATAAACACCTACAATGTTTGTGGAAATGCAGATTCTGGGGCCCCACCTCCAGAATCTAATTCCTTGTAAGCAGAATGGACCCCAGAAACCTGCATTTTTAAGCACCCTCACATTTAGGAGCCACTATTTTGCATCTTGATCCACAAACATTACAGCCACAAATAAGAGGTGGGGAAGGAAGTGCCTTAACCAGTAAAACTATCAAAGTCACCAGCAGTTTAAATTGATTTCAAATATGATTTTTATTAAAGAGCCAGCTAAATAAACAGTGATTTAAATGAATAAGACTTCTCCTATATGATATATATTCTCCCATAAACACATTTTTAATTTGCACTTCCCTAATGATGAATAATGTTGACCATCTTTCCATTTACTTGGTGTACAATTAGGTATCTTTTGTAAACGTCTGTGGAAAGTTTTTTAACTGGAATGTCTGTCTTATTATTCAGTTGTAAGAGTTCTCTGTTACGTGCTGCAAATATTTTTACCCTGGTCCTGGTTTACCTTTTCCTTTTATTAATGGTGTCTTTTGAAGAGCCTAAGTTTTAAATTCTGATGAGGTCGAAATGATGATCATTTTTTCTTTTTTGAGATAGGGTCTCACTCTGTCGCCCATGCTGGAGTGTAGTTAGTGGTCCAATCATGGGTCACTGCAGCCTTGACCTCCTGGGCTCAAGCCACCCTCTTGCTTCATCCTCCCAAGCAGCTGGGACTACAGACACACACCACCACAACTAGCTAATTTATTATTATTTTTTGTAGATACAGGGTGTCACTATGTTCCCCAGGCTAGTTTCAAACTCCTAGTCTCAAGTGATCCTCTCACTGCAGCCTCCCAAAGTGTTAGAATTATAGGCGTGAGCCACTGTGCCTGGCCTCATTTTTTCTTTTATGGTATGTGTTTTTGGTATTTTAAAGCTTTGTCCAGTTTGCAAATATTTCTATGAAAAGCTTGGTTTTATCCTAAAAATTTTAAACCTTTAACTTTTAGACATGAGCCTATTTATTATTGTCTGTTTTAAGTTAATTGTGGCGATGGTGTGAGTTAAAGATTAAAGTTCACTTTTTCTTTCTCTGTAAATATCCAGTAGGCCTACTATCATTTGTTGAAAAAGACTTTTTTTTAATATACTTTAAATTCTGGGGTACATGTGCAGAACGTGAAGTTTTGTTACACAGGTATACATGTGCCATGGTGGTTTGCTGCACCCATCAACCCATCACCTGTATTAGGTACTTCTCCTAATGCTATCCCTCCCCTAGCCGCCCAACCCCCGACAGGCGTGTGATGTTCCCCTCCCTGCGTCCATGTGTTCTCATTGTTCAACTCCCACTTATGAGTGAGAACATGAGGTGTTTGGTTTTCTGTTCTTGTGTTAGTTTGCTGAGAATGATGGTTTCCAGCTTCATCCATGTCCCTGCAAAGGGCATGAACTCACCCTTTTTAATGGCTGCATAGTATTCCATGGTGTATATGTGCCACATTTTCTTTATCCACTCTATCTTTGATGGACATTTGGGTTGGTTCCAAGTCTTTGCTATAGTGAGTAGTGCTGTAATAAACACATGTGTGCATGTGTCTTTATAGCAGAATGATTTATAGTCCTTTGGGTATATACCCAGTAATGGGATTGCTGGGTCAAATGGTATCTCTAGTTCTAGGTCCCTGAGGAATCACCACACTGTCTTCCACAATGGTTGAACTAATTTACACTCCCACCAACAGCGTAAAAGCGTTCCTATTTCTCCACATCCTCTCCAGCATCTGTCATTTCCTGACTTTTTAATGATCGCCATTCTAACTGGCGTGAGATGGTATCTCACTGTAGTTTTGATTTGCATTTCTCTAATGACCAGTGATGATGAGCTTTTTTAAATATGTTTGTTGGCCGCATAAATGTCTTCTTTTGAGAAGTGTCTGTTCATATCCTTCACCCACTTTTTGATGGTTTTTTTTTCTTGTAAATTTAAGTTCTTTGTAGATTCTGGATATTAGCTCTTTGTCAGATAGATTGCAAGAATTTTCTCCCATTCTGTAGGCTGCCTGTTCACTCTGATGATAGTGCCTTTTGCTGTGCAGAAACTCTTTAGTTTAATTAGATCCCATGTGTCAATTTTGGCTTTTGCTGCCATTGCTTCTGGTGTTTTAGATATGAAGTCTTTGCCCATGCCTACGTCCTGAATGGTATTGCCTAGGTTTTCTTCTAGGATTTTTATGGTTTTAGGTTTTACGTTTTAAGTCTTTAATCCATCTTGAGATAATTTTTGTATAAGGTATAACGAAAGGGTCCAGTTTCAGTTTTCTGCATATGGCTAGCCAGTTTTCCCAACATCATTTATTAAATAGGGAATCCTTTCTGCATTGCTTGTTTTTGTCAGGTTTGTCAAAAGATCAGATGGCTGTAGATGTGTGGTGTTATTTCTGAGGCCTCACTTCTGTTCTATTGGTTTATGTATCTGTTTTGGTACCAGTACCATGCTGTTGTGGTTACTGCAGCCTTGCAGAATAATTTGAAGTCAGGTAGCATGATGCCTCTAGCCTTGTTCTTTTTGCTTAGAGTTGTCTTGGCTACGTGGGTTCTTTTTTCGTTCCATATGAAGTTTAAAGTAGTTTTTTTCAATTCTGTGAAGAAAAGTCAATAGTAGCTTGATGGGGACAGCATTGAATCTATAAATTACTTTGGGCAGTATGGCCATTTTCACGATATTGATTCTTCCTATCCATAAGCATGGAAAGTTTTTCCATTTGTTTGTGTCCTCTCTTAATTTCCTTGAGCAGTGGTTTGTAGTTCTTCTTGAAGACGTCCTTCATATCCCTTGTAAGTTGGATTCCTAGGTATTTTGTTCTCTTTGTAGCAATTGTGAATGGGAGTTACTCATGATTTGGCTGTCTGTTATTAGCGTATAGGAACGCTTGTGATTTTTGCACAGTGAAGTATCCTGAGACTTTGCTGAAGTTGCTTATCAGCTTAAGGATATTTTGAGCTGAGATGATGGGGTTTTGTAAATATACCATCATTTCATCTGCGAACAGAGACAACTTGACTTCCTCCTTTCCTATTTGAATACTCTTTATTTCTTTCTCTTGCCTGACTGCCCTGGCCAGAACTTCCAATACTGTGTTGAATAGGGGTGGTGAGACAAGGCATCCTTGTCTTGTGCCAGTTTTCAAAGGGAATGCTTCCAGTTTTTGCCCATTCAGCTTGATAGTCGCTGTTGGTTTGTCATAAATAGCTCTTATTAGTTTGAGATATGTTCCATCAATACCTAATTTATTGACAGTTTTTAGCATGAAGGGGTGTTGAATTTTGTCGAAGGCCTTTTCTGCATCTATTGAGATAGTCATGTGGTTTTTGTCGTTGGTTCTGTTTATGTGATGGATTACGTTTATTGATTTGCATACGTTGAACCAGCCTTACATCCTAGGGATGAAGCCAACTTGATCGTGGTAGATAAGCCTTTTGGTGTGGTGCTGGATTTGGTTTGCCAGATTTTATTGAGGCTTCTCGCATCGATGTTCATTAGGGATATTTGCCTGAAATTTTCTTTTTTTGATGTGTCTCTGCCAGGTTTTGGATCAGACGATGTTGGCCTCATAAAATGAGTTAAGGAGGATTCTCTCTTTTTCTATTGATTGGAATAGTTTCAGAAGGAATGGTACCAGCTCCTCTTTGTACCTCTGGTTGAATTTGGTTGTGAATCTGTCTGGTCTTGGACTTTTTTTGGTTGGTAGGCTATTAATCACTGCCTCAATTTCAGAACTTGTTATTGGTCTATTCAGGGATTCGACTCCTTCCTGATTTAGACTTAGGAGGGTGTATGTGTCCAAGAATTTATCCATTTCTTCTAGGTTTTCTAGTTTATTTGCGTAGAGGTGTTTATAGTATTCTCTGATGGTAGTTTTTTATTTCTGTCAGATAAATGGTGATATCCCCTTTATCATTTTTTATTGCATCGATTTGATTCTTCTCTCTTTTCTTCTTTATTAGTCTGGCTAGTGATTTATTTTGTTGGTCTTTTCAAAAACACAGCTCCTGGATTCATTGATTTTTTGAAGGGTTTTTTGTGTCTCTATCTCCTTCAGTTCTGCTCTGATCTTAGTTATTTCTTATCTTCTGCTAGATTTTGAATTTGTTTGCTTTTGCTTCTCTAGTTCTTTTAATTTTGATGTTATGGTGTCGATTCTAGATCTTTCCTGCTTTCTCTTGTGAGCATTTAGTGCTATAAATTTCCCTCTGCACATTGCTTTAAATGTGTCCCGGAGATTCTGGTACATTGTGTCTTCGTTCTCATTGGTTTCAAAGAACATCTTTTTTCTGCCTTCATTTCATTATTTACCCAGTAGTCATTCAGGAGCAGGTTGTTCAACTTCCCTGTAGTTGTGCAGTTTTAAGTGAGTTTCTTAATCCTGAGTTCGAATTTGATTGCACTGTGATCTGAGAAACTGTTATGATTTCTGTTATTTTGCATATGTTGAGGAGTGTTTTCCTTCCAATTATGTGGTCAATTTTAGAATAAGTGTGATCTGGTGCTGAGAAGAATGTATATTCTGTTGATTAGGGGTGGAGAGTTCTGCAGATGTCTATTAGGTTTGCTTGGTCCAGAGCTGAGTTCAGGTCCTGAATATCCTTGTTAATTTTCTGTCTCGTTGATCTGTCGAATATTGGCAGTGGATGTTAAAGTCTCCCACTATTATTGTGTGGGAGTTTAAGTCTCTTTGTAGGTCTCTAAGAACTTGCTTTATGAATCTGGGTGCTCCTGTATTGGGTGCATATATATTTAGGATAGTTAGCTCTTCTTGTTGCATTGATCCCTTTACCATTATGTAATGCCCTTCTTTGTCTCTTTTGATCTTTGTTGGTTTCAAGTCTGTTTCATCAGAGACTAGGATTGTAACCCCTGCTGAAAAGGAGTATTCTTGTGCCATTGAATTACCTTGACACATCTGGACAAGAAGTTTTAAACTTGATCTTCAAAACATGTAGTTTAAATCTTCTGATGTTTTTCTTTTTAAAACTTGTTTGGTCTATTCTAGATGCTTAACGTTTTCCATCTAATCTTGAAAAGCAGCTTATCAATTTCTAAAAAAAAAAATTGTCTGTTGAAATTTCTATTGGAATTGCTTAATCTAAAACTGATCTGGGGAGAATTATCATCTTCACAGTCTTCTAATCCATGAACGCGGAATCTTTCTCAATATATCTAGGAGTTCTTTAATTACTCTATATTACAGTTTTCAGTGTACAGGTCTCAACATTTTTTTTGTTAAATTTATCCCAAAGTATGCAGTGATTTATGCCATTGTAAATCACATTTTTCTACAACATTTTATTTTTGTATTTGTTATGAAGAAATCAGTTACTTCTGATTACTGACTGTATTACTTTTTGGTATATTCCTTAGGACTTTCTATGCACACAATCACATGGTTTGTAGACAAAATCCTTTTTGTTTTTCCTTTCCAATCTGATGGCTCTTATTTCTGTTTCTTGTCTTAATGTAATGACTACCACATCCAGTACAATGTTTAATGTAAGTGATGAAAGTGGACATCCTTGCCACTTTCCCAATCTTAGAAAGAAAGCATTCAATCTTTTACCATTAATACCATGTTAACTGTTACTTTTCCATAGATACTCTTTATCAGGTTAAAGACATTCTTCTCTATTCTTAATGTGCTGAACAGATGCTGAATGTTGTCACAGGCTTTTTCTACATCTATTCAAATAATTACAAAGGCGTTTAAAATTTTGTTAACAAGAAAAATTATATTGTTTTCAAATAATAATCTTGCATTCCTAGGATAAAACCCTGTTGGCCATGATGCATTACCCTGTTATCACGTTTCTGGATTTGATTTGCTAATATTCTGTTAGAGATTTCTGAATATATGTTTGAAGAGATGTCGCTTCTAGCTTTCTTTAATGCCTGCAATAATCACCTCATAAAACGTGTAAGGAAGGACATTCTATTCCTCTTTTCTAAAAGCGTTTATGTAAGACTAGTAATTTTTCACTAGGTGTCTGATCGAATTTACCAGTTTAGTCATATGAGCCTGCAGTTTTCTTTGTGGAAAGGTTTAAAACTGTAAATTCTATGTCTTTAACAGATATTTAAAAACTAATTTTCTAATTCTCTCTTGGTTAGTTTTAATAATTTGTATCTTTCAAGTATTTGACCACTTCATCTAAATTGCTGAATTTGAGAATGAAGGGATTCATAATTTCTCTTATTCTTTGAATGTTTATAAGATCTGTAGTGATATCCCCTATTTCATTACTGATTTTTTTTGTCTGCCTTTCTTAACCAATCTAGCTACATTCAAAGAATCAGTTTTAGTTTACATTGATTTTTTTTCACTTTCTATTTAATTGATTTCTAGTATATCCTTTATTTTCTTCTATTTAAAGCTGATGCTCTATGTCTTAAACTGGAAATGTAAATTGTTCATTATAAAATTTTTCTTCTATCTGATATAAACTTTTAAAGCTATAAATGTCTATTTAAATACTGCTTTGGCTAAATTCCAGAAAACTTGGTATGTTGTTCTATGAATTGAATTCTCCCCCACCCCACCCGCTACCTCCAAAATTCACATATTGAAGCCCTAATCCCCACTATGACTATTATGTGGAGACAGGGTCTATAAGCAGGCAATTAAGGTTAAATGAGGTTATAATGGTGGGGGCCCTAATATAATGGGATTAGTATCCTTACAAAAAGAGACACCAGAAAGCCCCCATGCACACATGTGCACAAAGAGGGCATGTGAGTTACACAGTGGAATGGCTGCCACCTACAAGCTAGGAAAACAGGTCTCAGTGTAAAGTGACTACGCTGACACCTGATTTCAGACTTCCAGATTCCAAACTGTGAGAAAATAAATGTCTATTGTTTAAGCCACCCAGTTTATGGTATTTTGTTATGGCAGTCTAGCCCAAGCAGACTAAGATATGTTGTACTTTTGTTTTCAAAGCATTTTCTAATATCCCTTATGATTTCTTTCTTAACCCATGAGTATTGAAAAGCTTCTGGTTTAATTTCTAATTATAAAATATCTGGATTTTCATTGTTACTGATTTCTAATTTAATTTTGCTATAATCAGAGAGTATAATCTATATAATCTGCTCTTGGTGGATGTAGTGTTTAATAAATACCTATTAGGTCAAGTTACTTAATAGTGTTCTTCAAATCTACACCCTTGCTGATTTTCCATCTATTTTATCAGTTACTAACAGATGAATGTTGAAATCTTCCCTTAGTTTTATTCATTTTTTTCCTTCACGTACTTTAAAGCTCCAATATTAGAATCTGGGATTGTTGTATCTACCTGGGGAACTGTCTCCTTCATAATTGTAAAATGTCCTTCTTTATCTCTGATAATATTCCCTGTCCTAAAGTCTACTTTGTCTGAGAGTAACATAACCATCCCAGCATTTTAAAGATTAGTGTTTACTTGTTTTCCTAGGTCTTTTTACATTTAACCTACTTGCATACTTACGAAGAAGTGTATTTCTTCAAAATCAAGACTACTGATGAACAGGAGAAGACACTTGCAAAATAGGACTAATATCTCCAATATATAAAGAACTCTTAACTGAATCAGAAAAAATTAAAAGCACTATAGAAAAATGGGTAGAACAGTTATGAAGAGACAACATCAAGAGACAAATATAAGCATGGCTCTTAAATACCAGGAGATGGTTAACCTCACACATAATTAAAGACAAACTAAAACTACACTGTGATAAAATTTCTGACCTATCAGATCAGCAAAAATAAAAAATGTAACACATTCTGTTGGAAAGGATGTGGGAAACAGGCACTTTTTTTCACCAATGAGGGAATGCAAGGTGGCACAGACCTTGAAGGAGAATCTGTCAATGCTTAATGAAACAATGTCAGCATTTACTTTTGACTCACCAACCCCACTTCCAGGAATTTATCCTACACATAAACTTTATATCTATCCCTTTCCCTATTTGACAAGTGAAAACTGTATATATTTATGATGTACAACATATTTTAAAATATGTACACATTGTAGAATGGCTACATTGAGCTAATGCATGCATTACCTCACATAGTTGTCTTTTATGGTAAGAACACAAAATCTACTCTCTCAGCAATTTTCAAGTACACAATACGGATGCTTCTTGACTTATGATGAGGTGACATACCAATAAATCCATCATAAGTTGAAAATCACAAGTCAAAAATGTATTTAATACACCAACTTACTTTTAAGGTAGCCTAGTCTCCCCTTAAACATGCTCAGAACACTTACATTAGACTACTGTTGGGCAAAGTCATCTGGTAACATGGTACAGGTAGAGTATCAGTCGTTTACTCTCTGAATTGTGTGGCTGACTGAAAGCTGCAAGAGTATTGTACAGCTAGCCCAGGAAAGATCAAAATTCAAAATGTGAAATACTGTTTCTACTGAACATATACTGTGCTTTGGCACCATCATAAAGTCCAAAAACTGCTAAGCTGAACTTACACCTTCTAACTGAAATTTTGTGTCTTTTGACTAACATCTCTCAAATCTCCCTGGTCCCCACCCTCAAGCTCTGGTAACCACCATTCTACTCTCTGCTTCTATATTCTCCATTTAAGTGAGATCATGCATTATTCATCTTTCTGTACTTGGCTTATCACATTTAACATAATGTCCTCCAAGTTCATCCATGTTGTCATAAATGACAGGATTTCCTTATTTTTTAAGGCTTAACAGTATTCCACTATATATGTGTGGAATACTATTAAGAATCCACACAGACACACACACATACACCCCCACATTTTCATTATCCACGTGTCCACTGATGAACACTTAGGTTGATTCCTCCCTGTCTTGGCTATTGTGAATAATGCTTCAATGAACATGAGAATGCAGCTATCTCTTTGACATAATTATTTCATTTCTCTTGTATATATACCTAGTTATGAATTTGCTGGATCACATAGCAGTTCTATTTTTAATTTTTTTTAGCAACTGCCACACTGTTTTCCATAATACCTATACTAATTTACATTCCCACCAACAGTGAACCAGGGTTCCCTTTTCTACACATTCTTGGTCAATATTTGTTATCTTTTGTCTTTTTGATGACAGCCTTTCTAACAGGTGTGAGATGATAATGCATCTTTGTTTTGATTAGCATTCCTGATGACTGGCCATGCAGAGCATTTCTTCATATAACCGTTAGTCATTTCTAAACATATACATTCAACAATACAAATTACAGCTACACTTATCTTTTGATTGAGCAATTCAAGTTGTAGGAATTTACCCTGAATATAACCTTCAAAAATATGAAAATACATACACAAGAGATTATTCTTTGAAGCACTGTTTGCAATTGCAAAATACGGGAAACAAATGAAATGCTCATATATAGGACAGTGGGTAAAAAAATAATGGCACAAAAGTAAATTTTTTAAATGGGGATATTTTTGTTGCTTATGCTTTTGAGATCTTAGCCCTAAAATCTTAGCCTACATCAATGTCTTGGAACATTTCCTCTACGTTTTCTTCAAGTAGTTTTATAGTTTCGGGTCTTAGATATAAGTCTTTAATCCATTTTGAGTTGATTTTTGTATATGGTGAGAGATAAGAGTTGACCCAGCAATTCCACTACTGGCTATTTATCCAAAGGGAAAGAAATCAGTATTTCAAAGATACACCTGCAACCCCAGGTTTACCGTAGCACTATTCACAGTAGCAAAGATATGAAATCAACCTAAGTGTCCATCAATGGATGAACAAAGAAAATAGGTATATATTAAACACAATGGAATATTATTCAGCCATAAAAAACAATAAAATCCTGTTATTTTCAGCAACATAGATGGAACTGGAGTTTATGTTAAGTGAAACAGGCAAGGCACTGAAAAGCAAATATTGCATGTTCTGACTTATAGAAGGGAGCTAAAAAAGTTTATCTTGTGAAGGTAAAGAGTAGAATGACAGTCACCAGAGGCTGGGAAGCATTTGCTTTTTGGTGTGAGAGGGAGGATGAAGAGAGGTAGGCTACTGGGCTCAAGTATACAGTTATTAACAGACAGAAGGAATAAGCCCTAGTTTTTAACAGCAGGGCAGAGTGACTATAGTTAGCAACCATATATTGCATATTTCAAAGTCACTAGAAGAGAAGATTGGAAATGTTCCTAACACAAAGAAATGATAAATGTTCAAGGTGATGCATATCCTAAACACCCTGATTTGATCATTACACAGTCTATGCATGTATCAAACTATCACATGTACCCCATCAATATGTATTATGCAATAATAAAAAAAAATTTTAAAGTAGAGTAAAAATCCTAAATGGGATACAGAGAGAAACAAATAAACTAAACTTCATTTAAAATGTACAACACAGATGGGTGTGGGGGTGGGAGAAGGATGAAGAGAAAGATGAAGAACATTATAACCCATGTAAATTTAGAATACAGTATTTTGACAATATACACTCAGACTAAAGAAAAAACATGAACTCTAAACACCGTACTCTTTTTTTATGGCTGTAACAGTTAACAATTTTGAAACTAATTTATCTGTATTCTAGGATTGAACAAATCAATACACTTACTGTAGACAGATAACTGGAGCCAGATTTCTCATTGTTGGAGAATGGACAGAAACAGAATAGACAGAACACTGGTTTTGTATCAAAATTGGAGGCATCAGTAACTCACGGTTTTTAATATACACAGATACAAGAATAGGAATATGTTTGTGTATACTGTACATATTTATACACATAAACATAAACATTTTCTTCCTTTTACTAAGAGTCTAGAGATAATGACACCTCACTAATAATGACACCACTTGTGATGGTTAATACTGAGTGTTAACTTGATTAGATTGAAGGATATGATACAAAGTATTAATCCTGGGTGTGTCTGTGTGGGTGTTGCCAAAAAGAGATTAACATCTGAGTCAGTGGGCTGGGGAAGGCAGATCCACCCTTAATCTGGTGGGCACAATCTAATCAGCTTCCAGCAAATATAAAGCAGGCAGGAAAACATGAAAAGAGAGATGGGCCTAGCCTCCAAGCCTACATCTTTCTCCTGTGCTGGATGGTTCTCGCCCTTGAACGCTGGACTCCCAAGTTCTTCAGTTTGGGACTCAGACTGGCTCTCCTTGCTCCTCAGCTTGCAGACGGCCTATTGTGGGACCTTGTGATCGTGTAAATTAATACTTAATAAATTCCCCTTTATATATTTATCCTAACAGTTCTGTCCCTCTAAGAGAATCCTAATACATTACAGTAGCAATGAGTACACATGGCACATAAAGATTAATTTTTCAATATTATCTTCCACTAAAATGAAGCAGGAGTCTTTCAAGAAATAGGTTGTTCCAGGGCTGTGGCAAGGAAATTACAAAACAAGCCTGGAACATCCTAACATACCAGAAAGTAAGAAGTGCTCAATGATTGCTGGGGACACGTAAATGACACAGAATAGACCTAACTAAGCACGTGCGATTTTTTTATGACAGCGCAAATGATGGTGAAATACCTGGATAAAAATGAACTGTGACCTCAATCTTAACTTCAATCAGAATGTCAACTAAGAAACATAGATTAAGTGTGATAGAATTTTTAGAAAACCCAGCCAGCGCAATAACTGTTCCAGGCAAGAATCATCAGTAGATTCTAAAACTAGTCAGAGTTTCATGTAAAACACAGTACTTGCATAGTCTCAAAGTACTTCTCTGCAAGACACTTATGAATTATAAGAGAAAAATGGAACAAAGAGACGCCAAGTGCTTCCTGATAGGATGCATTGGGAGAGACACAAACTTCAGTAATATTCCACCAAAAATGCAAATTCTGAATCAAATAATGAGTAAATATCAGAAAACTCTAGCTGGGTTTGTTTGTTTATTTATTTATTTATTTATTTTGAGAGGGAGTCTTGCCCAGGCTGGAGTGCAATGGCGCAATCTCGGCTCAATGCAACTTCCGCCTCCCGGGTTCAAGCAATTCTCCTGTCACAGCCTCCTGAGTAGCTGGGATTACAGGCGCATTTTGTATTTTAGTAGAGATGGGGTTTCACCGTGTTGCCCAAGCTGGTCTCGAACTCCTAAACTCAGGCAATCCACCGCCTCAGCTTCTCAAAGTGCTAGGATTACAGGCTGTGAGCCACCGTGCCCAGGCCCATCTGGGTTATTCTATAAAATAAACAGCATCTACTCTTCAAAAATGTCAAAGTTCTAAGAGAGTAAGAAAGACAAATCAATAGTTCTACATTAGAGACTAAAGAGAAGTGAAAATTAAATATGAGGGTCTGAACCCTGGACCCCAAATTTTTTAAAATAAAAGACGTTAATGGGACAATTTACAAAATTCCAATGAGGCCTCTAGATTAAACAGCAGTATGAGACAGTCTTAATTTCCTGAATTTGATGAGTATATGATGATCTCTAAAACAATGTTCATGTTTATAAGAAATATACACTGAAATATTTAGGGGTAAAATAGCATCATGTCTACAAATGATTTTCAAATGCTTCAGAAAAATTATAAATACATGTACATGTATGTATAAAAAGGTAGCTATGGGGAGGGAAGGAAAAGGAGAGAGTTAAAAAAGAGAGATTAGGAGTGATAAAGCAAATATGAAAAAACATTAACAAATGAGGAATTTGGGTCAAGAAGATATAAGAATTATTTGTACTATTTTTCCATCTTTTCTCTAAAATTATTTCAAAACAAAAGGTAAAATATTAAATACAAAATTAAAATAAAGTTCTTGTAGACAAAATATGCTTGGGTCTTGCTTTTTAAATATAATCTGACAATTGGTGTTGAAATTATTCATTTACTACGGTTTCTGATATGTTTGGGTTTAAGTCTGCCATATTGCCATTTGTTTTCTATTTTTCCCATCTGCTTTTTATTCCTCTTGTTCTGTTTATGCCTTCTTTTAGATCAACTGAGTATTCATTTAGTATTTCATTCTATCTTCGTGACTAGTTTATTGGCTATAGTTCTTTTTTTTTTTTTGATTTTAATGTTTCGTGTGGGGCTTATTTCATATTACCACAGTTTAACTTCAAATAATATTGTACTACTTTACATAACATCTAAGAACCTTACAACTCAATTCTTCCATGCAACCCTCCTGTCCTTTGTGCTGTTATCACATATGCAATGTATACATGTTATAAACAATCATTTTTGTTTTTAAAATGTTAGAAATTAACATTTTGTTAACCAGAAAACATTTTTTATATTTTTCCACATATTTTTGCCTTTTTGGTGGTCTTTGTTCTTCGTAGGATCCGTGTTTTCACCTCAAATGGTTAACTACCTTTAGCCTGTAACATTTCTTAAAAGTGCCAGTCTACTGCAAATTTTCTCAGTTTTGTCTGAAAATGTCTTCATTTTTTTTGAAGGATATTCCTGCTGGAAGCAGTGTTTTAGATTAGCGATTTTTTCTTTTGGTACTTTAAAAATGTCATTTCATTGGTTTTGGGGTGGCATTTGTCCTTGATGAACAACCAGCAGTCATTCCTATCTTTTGAACTACTATATTTAGTTTTCTTCCCTGGCTGTTTCTCTATTTATGACTGATTTTCGACAACTTGAATATTATCTGGCTTGGTGTGACTTTCTGTGTTACTCTTGCTTCAGGTTTATTAAAGTTCTTTGACAGCTCCTCCCTCTCCCAATTCCTAGGAACTCACTTAGACATGTGTTAGACTGCTTGCTACTACTGTACCAGAGGTCACCAAGGGTTTATTTGTTTTTTAGTCATTTTTCTCCCTGTGCTTCAGTTTAAATTACTGCTGTCACTGTCTTCAAACTCACTAAGCTTTTCTTTTGCAATGTCTAGGTTGTTCTTAATCCTATCCAGTGAAATACTCATTTCAGAAACAACATTTTTCAACTCTAGAGGCTTCATTTGTTTCTTTTTCATACTGTCCATTTTCCCTCATTATGTTCATGTCTTCCTTTAAATTGCTGAACACATAAAATTGATGTATTAAATTCTCTGTAGAGGAACAGGCATCACCTGGATGCCACCGGCCCTCCTCAAGATAAGCCTCTGTAGCACAAAGCCTGTAGAAAATGAGATCTGCCAATATCCTCTGGCCGTTAAACACACCCAAATACCTCTGGAGGATATTGGAGACACCACTTCTGATGAGGTTATAAAGCATATGTGTTGATGAAATGACAAAATGCAATCTACTCTAAAAGAAAGCTGTGCTTTTGAAGAGGGTCTTATAAACGGATGCTGTAAGCCTCTCAGGGTTTAGTTGTAAGGGGTATCAAGACACCTAAGGTATATGTTAGTGGTCCATATGGTTATCAGTCTTTCATCAGCATCAAAACAGTCTGCCAGGCCCAAGTCTGCAAGCCCTTGATCCTAGACTTCTGAGCCTCTAGAACTGTGAGAAATAAATGTCTGTTGTTTAAGCCACTCAGTCTATGGTATTTTGTTATAGCATCCTGGACTCACTAAGACATGTTTTAGGGCTTAACCCAGTCCCATACCCAATCTGCATACTAATTTGAATTAAATATTTACCCAACTCATGATCCTGGTCACACACACACAAAATGTAAAATGTGACAGTTGTAAATTCTGTCTACAAACCTAATATTCCTGTCATCAGTAGGTACGGAGCTCTTTCTCCCCACCCTTATCTTGAATCTAGGCCAATCTAAGTGACTTGCTGACTAATAGCATATGGCAGCAGAAGTAATATTATGACTTCCAAGGGCAGATTAAGGTGATACAGCTTTCACTAGTTTCCTCTGGGACATTCACTCTTGGAGTCCAGCCATCATACTAGGAGGAAGCCCAAACTAGCCCATGTGAAGGCCACACAAAGAGGCCTACATATAGGCATTCTAGTTGAGAGCTCAGCTGAGGTCCCAGCTAGAAACTAGCATCAACATGTAATGAACATGCCTCCAGCTCCCAGCCATCAAGTCATTTCCAACTCTGAAATCTCCCCAGCTGAGTCCCCAGATCATGGAGAAGAGACAAGCTGTCTTTGCTGTCCCCTGCCTGAATTTCTGACAGAGTTTGAGAGCATCATAAAATGGTTATTTTATGCCACTAACTTTTAGATAGAAGTAGATAATAGATAAGTAGAGCATGAGATGAGAATATAATTATGTACTGATGTCAATTCTTCATTATACTAGGAAAATACTTAAAGCCCAAATTTTGATCACGAATGAACATCCTCATCTTCGTAAATGTAGTGCAGTCTAATTCCACAGCTAATTTCCTAATTGCTGGAATAAAGAATCAAGGAAGAATCACAAGATAACATATATGTTTTTCTCACCATTATTTTGGCTCTAGATGTGGTTAGAGAGTTCTAGGGTTCTTAGATGGTCCAGCCAAGGAGGAATCAGGCTAAACATGCAGTGGTTTGGAGACAACCCATGCCAGTGTTAAATATTTGGGCAAGATTCACAGACAGGGCAGGTCCCAACAGGGCATATAATATTAGAGAGAATGACAGAACAATGGGGGAAAAGGGCCATGTTACTGCAGAGATGAAAGAGTAAAAAGAGAAAAAATAGTGAATACTAAAGAATTTTCATTATTTATGAGGTAAGAAGTTTTAATTGTCCTCCTAATAGTCTGAATATTTTATATTTCTCTCTCAAAGCAAAATTCTTTGTTGATGCAGTCTGCATTTCGCTAGTCTGGAGACATTCATAGATGTACTTTAAACATGAAGGCCTAGGAGGAACAAATGCTTCCCTGTTCCTGCTACATCAGAATGGAAACTGCAGTGATGACAGCAAGGGTGGGGACACCTTCTGTTGCCATAGCCACTTTGGTAGCTAAGTGTCTGATTTCAGTGGATAGTAATAATTTTTAAGGATAAATTTGCCTTGCTGTCATTTAAGGAATAAATATACTGACAGAATAAAACATACTTCTAAAAACACACACTGTAAAATAACTGGGTTCTTAAATCCATGATGTGGGCTCCTTACCTGAAAGCCCTATTGACACCACTGCCAGCCGTTCAATTGTTACTAAAGGGCGCTCACTAGAACAGGTACTGGTGCCTGACTAGTTGTTTCTGGCAAACAGGAAGAGCAACTATACCATTACGCTGAATCTTCTAAGCTAACTTCCTTTACATCTATGGTCCTCCGGGGAGCAATCATTAAGGGCTGGGAGTGAACACAAAATAGCTGCTGGAGGGACTGTTTTATCCAACTCAAAGAAAGCTCTCTCTCACCTTTAGGCACCAGAACAGACTTTCACCGCATATAGAAAGAGAATCAGCACAGTATGTCTCTTTACAGATGTGAGAAGGTATCAAAAGACCAAATAATTTGGTTGTGAGGAGGCAGGAAAAGTGTCTCCAAATTCACATGCATGTACCTATTTTCCTTAACACCTGAGGTAAAACCATCCCCCTGTTATCACAGGGAAGCTGTATTTAAAAGCGGTCTCTCCAAGTCACAAGACTGGGTTTCGCAGGTCTGAGATCCTTCTCTGGGGGCCTGCGGGCAGACCCCTGGTAACTGGGGGCAGCAGTGGTCAGTACATCAAAAGCAGGGATAGCCACAAGAGAAGCCTCTAAGGAGTTACACAGCTGATCATCTCACAAAGCAAGGGGAGTTTCAGCTGAGTAACAGCCCTTCGTACACGACAGGGGAGGCATGCTACACAATTGCATGATGTGCACATTCAAACTTAAACCTGGTTTCCCACACACAACACTTAGAAATAATCATATAATGTGATTTACAATTTGCTATTCCTTCTTCACCAAAATGAGCAAGGGGAAAGAGGAGGGAGAACCACAGGAATCCCCCAGAAGGAACCGAAAGTATGTTAATTATCTTATTAAATATACTTACCTTTTCTGCTGATATGAACTGAGTCCAAGTGTTGTCTCGGTCTGTAAAAGGAATAAAATAATGATTAAAAAACTGAAGCCAAATATTTATATTACAGACATATGGAATATCCAAAATATTCTATTTTAGTTTCAACATTCATTTTATACCCATTTGGATTTTAAGGTTAAACCTGGTCTCCAAATCACATACAATGACTAGATCAAATTGTAAACACACATGAAGTAACAGAAAGTAATGCGATGGATTTTTAAAAGTGTGCCAAACCGACACATCCTGAGAACAGCCCCTTTGACAATCACTTTGTGAGGCTGCTGTGCCTCGGACTGTTCCCTGCTCACTAACTGCTTGCCAGGTGCTGGTGGTAATGATTCCCACTGTCATGGAACTCAAGGTACAGTGGGTGGTGTGTGTGAGGGAGATAGTCATTTAAAAATACATATTTATATACTGAAATAGGATTATCAAAATATTGAAAAGGTGCTGTGAACAGGAATAAATAGTTGCCATACTTAAACACATCATGAAGGAAGGCCTGTCTGAAGAGACAATATTTACATAAAAACCTGAAGGATTAAAAAAAGCAGTGTGGCAGTGGGATGGATGGTGGTAGAGAAAACAGCACATGTGAAGGCCCTCATAGAGAGCAGAGGTTGGTATGTTCAAGAAACAGATGGCAGGTCTCTCTGCTGGAGCTGGGAGAGAAGGAGAAAATGAGACTGGAGGGCTAAGCAGAGGCCAGATAATGCTCTGCCTTGTAAGGAAGTCATGGGAAGAAGTTTGGTCTACTTTAGGTTTTAAAGATAAGGAAGATGAGAAAAAGTAGGAAGTTGGAGGCAACAGCTGTAGTTCAGGTGATGAAGAAATGGAAGTTCTTATTGATGTACGAGAAAATGCCAATGCTATAAGGAATACCATCAGTGAACTTATCCCAAAAGGTTATCTGCTACATCAAAATGAGAAAAAACAGCATTATTTTTTCCCAATAATATATATTATTTTGAAATAGTATTTTGGAGACTGTTTATGCAGAAAATGTGGCAGATGTAGAAAACTGTCCTAATTTTTTCAAGATGCGTACTAGGTAAAGTGTAAGGGTGTCCTTAATTTTCTTTGAGATGTCTTGGCAAAATAATTTGTGTGTGTGGGGAGGTGTATGGATAAAGCAAACACAGCAAAATGGTAATAACCGTTGAGTCTGGGTGGTAAATGAGTTGGTATTGGTTGAGCTCTTCTATTTTCTGTAAAGAAAAATTTCTTTAACTTTTTATTATGAAAATTACATCTATTCCCCATGCAGTGGGAGAAAATATTTATAAATCAAATATCTGATGAGATTAATATCTAGAATATATCAAGAACTCCTGCAACTCAATAACAGAAGAACAACCAAACTAAAAGGTGGGCAAAGGACTCAAACATTTCTCCAAAGAAAATACACAAATGGCCAGTAGGCACTTTAAAAGATGCTCAACATCACTAACCATTAGGGAAATGCAAATCAAAACCACAATGATACCACTTCATACCTGTTTGGATGACTACTATTTAAAATTTTAAAAAGAAAATAAGGATCTTTGGCAAGGATGTGGTGAAACTGGAACCTTTGTGCACTGTTAGTGTGAATATTAAAATGGTGTAGCCACTATGGAAAACAGTATTGTGGTTCCCAAAAAAATTAAACATAGAATTACCATACGACCCGCAATCCCACTTCTGTGTATATACCCTAAAGAACTGAAAACAGGGGCTCAAAAAGATACTGCATGAACCCACATTCACAGCAGTATTATTCACAACCATTAAGGGGTAGAAGCAACCCAAATGCCCATTGACAGGTGAACAGATAAACAAAATGTGATTTATACATACAAGGGAATACGATCCAGTCTTAAAGAGGAAGAAAATTCTGACACATGCCACAACAATGTAAAAGCGTTCCTATTTCTCCACATCCTCCCCAGCATCTGTCGTTTCCTGACTTTTTAATGATTGCCATTCTAACCGGTGTGAGATGGTATCTCATTGTGGTTTTGATTTGCATTTCTCTAATGACCAGTGATGATGAGTTTTTTTTTCTTATGTTTGTTGGCTGCATAAATGTCATTATTTCTGAGGCCTTTGTTCTGTTCCATTGGTCTACATACCTGTTTTGGTACCAGTACCATGTTGTTTTGGTTACTATAGCCTTGTAGTATAGTTTGAAGCCAATTTCTTACAAAGTTAAACATACACCTACCATATGACCAAATCACTCCACTCCTAGATATATGCCCAAGAGAAACAAAAGCATTTGTCCGTACAATGAATGGCTTGTACATAAATGTTCGTAGCAGCTTTGTTACAGCTCAGTATTGGAACAGCCCAAATTTCCACCAGCCCAAACTTCCACGTATCCAGGTGAACAGACACATGAGTTGTGTTATATCCGTACAATGGAATACGACTCAGCAATAAAAAGAATAAGCTATTGATATACAAAACAACACAGATTAATCTCAAAATAATTATGCTGAGTGGAACAACCCAGACCCTCAAAAAAGTACATTCTGTATGACTCCATTTATATAAAGTGTTTTAAAATGTAAACTTCCTGACAGTGACAGAAAGCAGACTGGTGGTTGCCTAAAGATAAGGAGCGTAAAGGGATTACCAAGGGGCACAAGTAGACTTTTAAGGGTGACACGTATGTCCATTATCTTGATTGTAGTAATAATTTCACAGGTACATAATTATGCCAACTTTTTAAATTACATAATTTAAACACATGCAGTTTATTGTATGTCATTTATACATCAATAATGGTTATGACAGAATTCTAGAGCATGAGAAGCTATGGTCTCACATGAAGTCTACAGAAAAGGAACTCAGGACGTGTATCACTCATGTGCACTTTCTTGAGGAGAAAAAAATTATCATGAAGACAGAATCTGACCACTGAAATTACTCATACGAAGACTCACAAATGAGGAAGCTGTCTTGTGAAAGATAAGCAGATACTCAATGCAAAGGATCTGTGGAAATAAAGTTAGAAAATCAGAAAATAAATATTGTTTTTGAAGTATATGCCACAAAACAGAAAAATAATCATTTAACTGTAATAAACAAGAATAAAAATCTCAGAACATGCCAACACATCCTTAAGTGTTATGAGAATAAGGAAGATCACAATAGACACTATTTTGTTTCTGAAGCAATTTGAGAAATAAAGGCATAAACATATCTTAAAAGTATATCTGAAAATTGAGCCCCATTATCAAGAGATTAAAAACAAAACAAAAGCCAATATGAATGCATAAAAAGCAGATGGAAAAGATTAAACACATCTACAGTGAGACTAAATAAGATAAACTCAACTGTTTATATAAAGACAAAAGGATTGCATCAAACAACTGGAACCTAACTATAACAATTTAATACAAAATGCAGAAATGTCAAAGGTCAGAGAATGGGCAAAAATAAACACTGAATAAGGATAAAAACAGGCAAATAAGGATTACAACATTAATAACTTTACAATGTAAAGATACATAAAAACTGTTATAATTCGACAGTGAAAAGGAAAAAAGGAAATGGGAAAACCAATGTTGTGACTGAAATGTAAGCAAAGGGCAAGAAGACAATTCACTAAAGAAAAATAAATGGCCAATAACCATATGAAAAAGATGATCAACCTCAGTAGACAGTAAAGCAATCTCTAGAGGACAGGGAAATTCCATAGTTTGCCATTTGACTGGCAGGGACCTTTGAACCTCATGAATTCACATCCAGAGATAAGGGTCTATTAAGAGTACTCAGAGCCCTAGAAAATGCCCATGCCATGCATTTTTTTAATCTTCTATCAAATATAAGACACTCCTACAATGTTTCAAAGGCAATTTCACTGAATCACAGAAACTTTAGTGATTCTTAACTCACTGCAAATTCTCTTCACCACATCTCTTTAGAACAGACAAGATATAACAGGGGTGTTCTTTCACCTCAGGTGTTAAGGAAAATATGTATATGCATGTGAGTTTGGAGACACCTTTCCTACCTCCCCATCCCCAAATTCTTTGGTCTTTCGGTACCTTCCCACCCATGCTTCTGTCATACTTAAGGACTTCAGCTTCAACCTCGCTCCTCACTAGGGTGCAGATTCCAAATAATCTGAGCACAGCTTCTCTCAGAATGCACTCCCAACTCCAAAAGGGGATATGCGGGAGGAAAATGGACTCTTCTTCCAATCAAATAGACCAGCCTCGGCAAAAATATATGTGATATGCTTTAAAATATTATTAAATTCTTTTATAAAACGAACACATCTGATAATTTTATCCCTGTAACTCAGTGGTTCTCAACCGAGGGCAATTTTGTTTCCCTGGGGGAATTTGGCAACGTCCAGAAGCATTTCTCTGTGTGCGGGTTTTTATTAACACCAAAAAACATGCTGGACAAATTCTAAAAGAGTTAAAAAACTAAGAGGCATTTTTGTTTGTCGCAAATCAGGGGGCCACTAACATTAAGTGTGTAGAGTCCGGCCTGCTGCTAAACACCCGGTAATGCACAGGACGCTCTTTCTTCTACCCTACAACCAATTATCTGGTCCAAAACGTACACAGGCCAAGACTGAACATCGTACTACAACCTCAATTTTATAGAGATATCAATAATTTAGATGTTCATTTGTAATAACATCTCCTTGCCTTTTAATTCAAAGTGCGTTACTGTCTTAACTGTGTTTGTATTTCCAGTGGTCCTTGCAGTTCTTAACACACTGGAGATAAATACAGAATTCATTTTACAGATAAAGAAACTAAGCCTCTAAATGTTCTAAATTAGCAAATGGTAAGAGTTAGAATTCAAATCCTTCGATCTGGTCTAGTACTGCATTCATACAATAACCTATCCTTGACAGAACTGCATATGCCTAAAACCAACTTTTAGCTTACATGAGCTGAAGTTGGCTATATTATTGCTAACAAATTTTAAGATGGCCATACTTTTATACTGCATTATTGTTAAACAGAAGATTTAATCTTGTTAGAAAAATAAAATGAAATTCACTTCAGAATGAGGTACGTGGCAGTTGTGCACACGGCATGGATGCTTAGAAATAAGACAAGGTCTGCACACCCTAGAATTTAAGCTTCTTGATGGTACAGGCAGCACATGCACACAAACCCGTGGTACCAGGAAGCCACACCAGGCGCCATTTGAGTATTACTTACATACTGGGCAGCTTTCCCCAGGGATATACCTGGGAGCCAGTTTCCTTGCAGGCGATGAGACTATGCTTCTCTGTCACCTTTAGAGACAAAATTACATACTTCCTCCAGGACTGGGTTGGGGGAAGGTAGAGGATGAGGTCTGCTTTTGATTATGAAGATCTCAACATGTAATCCTACTTCTTATCAACCCAATCTCCCCCACAAAGTTCTCTGCAAATCATCTCATAGTGAAAATGGATGACATCTGTGAGGGAGTTTTAAGAATTTTTAACTCACAAAAGGGGTCTTTCCTGACTTTCTAATTGTTTTGCTTCCTGTGCTTCTCTGTGTGTATGTATTTTTAACATGAATTTTCACTGAGATAACTGTAGATTCACATGCAGTTGCAAGAAATAGTAAAAAGAGCTATATTTTAACTCAGTTTCCCCACTGTATCATTCTGCAAACACTATGGCATAACATCACAAGCAGCACAGCGACACTGGTACGATCCACCTGCCTTGTTCAGAAGGTCTCAGTTTTGTATGTCCTCATTTGTGTTTGTTCATGTATTTAGTTCTACACAATTTTCTCTGCTGTGTAGGTTCATGAACACCAGTCAAGACACAGAACAGTGTCAGCACCCTGAGAATCCAGTGTGTCGCTTTTATAATCACACTCATCTTCCTCCTGCCCTTCCCCCCAAGCCCTGGCAACCATTCCTCTATTATTCATGACTAAAATTTTTTCATTTTAAAAAGGTCATATAAATGAAATCATGCACATGTAACCTTTTGGAGTTGGCTTTTTTCACTCAGCCTAATTCTCTGGAGACTTACCCAGGTTGTTGTGTGTGCCAACACTTTATTCCTTTTTATTGCTGAGTTGTATTCCATGGTATGAACGTATCACTGTTTAACAGTACATCTACTGAAATACATCTGGGTTGTTTCCAGTTTGGGGCTATTATAAACAGAGCTGCTATGAACATTTATATACATGTTTTAATGCAAATATAAATTTTCATTTCTTTGGGAGAATCCCCAAGAGAGCAATTAGTAGGTCAATTATAGTAACCACATGTTTAGATTTATACGAAACTGCCAAACTGTTTTTTCCAGAGTAGCTGTATCACTCACATACCCTCTAGTAATGCATGCGTGATCCAGTTTCTCCACATCCTTGCCAGTATTTGGTGTTGTCACTGTTTTGTGTTTTGGGTTTTAATTTGCATTGCCTGGTGGCTAACAATGTTGAACAGGTTTTCATGTCGTTTTTACCATCTGTATTTCCCCTTCAGGGAAATGTGTGCTCATCTCTTTTCCCTGTTTCCTTTATTTTTATACTATTGAGTTTCGAGAGTTCTTTCTATATTCCAGAAACTAGGTCCATTGTCAGGTGTGTGACTTGCAAATATTTTCTCCTAGTCTATATTTATCTTTACATCTTCACATGGTCTTTTGCAGAGAAAGGTTTTGTTTGTTTGTTTTTGTGAGACCAGTCTGGCTCTGTTGCCCAGGCTGGAGTGCAGCAGTGTGATCATGGCTCACTGCAGGCTTGATGTCCCAGGCTCAAAAGATTCTCTGCTTCTGACTCCTGAGTAGCTGGGACTACAGGTGCACACCACCACACCTGGACAATTTTTTATTTATTTTATTTACTTACTTTTTATTTTACTAGAGACAAGGTCTCACTATGTTGCCTAAGCTGGTCTTAATTAAACTCCTGGGCTCAATGGCTCCTCTTCCCTTGGCCTCCCAAAGTGCTAGAATTACAGGCATGAGGTACTGCGTCTGGCCCAGAGCAAGTTTTAAATTCATCGATCTTTCCTTTATACATTGCACATCTGGTATTAATTCTTTGGTGTCAAGAACTCTTTGCCTAGCCCTGTAAGCTGAAGCTTTCCTCTTAGTTTTATTCTCCCTAAAGGTTTTATTATAGTTTTACATTAAGTCCATGATCCATTTTGAGTTAGTTTTTGTTTAAGGTGTGAGATCTTTCTATATTCAGACTTTGCATACCATTTTAGTATTCTGTGGTATTCTTTATTCCTAGTTTTTAAGGCTGTTTCTTATTTTATTTTAATAAAATAAAATTTTGCCTGTTGCCCAGGCTGGAATGCAGTGGAGTGATCTCAACTCACTGCAACCTCTGCCTCACGAGATCAAGCAATTCTCCTGCCTCAGCCTCCCAAGTAGCTGGGACTACAGGCATGTGCCAGCACGCCCAGCTAATTTTTTTTAATTTTTAGTAGAGATGGAGTTTCACCATGTTGGTCAGGCTGGTCTCAAACTCCTGACCTCAAATGATCCACCCGCCTCAGCCTCCCAAAGTACTGGGATTATAGGCGTGGGCCACGGCACCCAGCCTTAAGGCTGTTTCTGAACCCGCTATTTATTCTTCTTTTGTACCACTTATTGTACTACAATAGAGGGCAGGAAATAGTAGTAAAGGGAGAATCAAAATGAGGATGAAGTGGGGAGCAGGTATTTCTGAGAAGACTCAAAATTTAAAGTAGAAAATAAAAACCTGTGTGCAAACACCAGCTCTGCCCTCACTAGCCAAATACCCTTGGGGAAAGTCTGTAAAAGCAGCATTCTGCCAACTACAAGGAGCTGCAGAGCTGTTGGCCTCTGATGACGGCTTTCTAGTGTCCCACCCACTTCTCTCTTCAGCCACAGGTAATCAACTTGACATGACATGAAGTGGCTGTTTTGAGTACAAAATTAGTTGTAATATTGTAAAACTGATAATGTAGAGTGAGAAAATCTAGCTTTGTTTGCAGAGAGAAAAATAACTGAAAAAACAAAAAGCACTACCTTGTAGTACATTTAGGCAGTGGGATACAAGGGTAATGACCCCTGTTATTGCAGAGCGGTTAAAAACTTAGGCCTCAGAGTCAAATGCTTGGTTTTCAATTCTAGCTTTATCACTTAATAATCATTTATTTGGTTAGGTTAAACTCCCTGCACTTTAATATGCTCACCTGTAAAATGATCATAAAATGAATACCATCTCATGTATTTAAGAATTTAGAAGAGTACCTGACTTGTCAACACCCAATAAATATGACTTATATTTATTATTTTTTCACATTTTTCAAATTTTCTACAAGCTTATATTTCTTTTATAATAGAAGTCCTTTAATTTAAAACAAAAGATGAGTACTTCTAGGCCTCCTTACAAGTCAAAATCACAGCTCCTTCTCCATTTCCTTTTCTCCTGGGAGAACATTAAAGCCCATTTCCAAGACAATTTAGAAAAGAAGTTGGTAATCTATTAGCCCATGAGCCAAATCCAGTCTTCTGCCAGCTTTTGCAAATAAAGTTTTATGCCCATTTCTCACATACTGTTACGGCAGCTTTCACACTACGATGACCAAAGTTGAATAGTTGTGATAGAGACCATTCGGGACACAAACCCTGAAGTAGTTAATATCTGGTCCTTTACCGAAAAAGTTTGCCAACATCTGGCTTAGATCAACAGAAATAATGCCACAATATCTTATTTCCAGAATCATTAAGTCCCTACATAAGAAAATCTGTGACCTAAAAATCTAAGGCAATCTGGCATAGCATGTCCTCAAGAAAAATACAGACAATGTACAGTCCCACTAGTGAACTGCAGTACAATTCTGATGCTAACCATCTGCATTAGTCTGTTCTCACACTGCTAATAAAGACATACCCAAGACTGGGTAATTAATTCATAAAGAAAAGAGGTTTAACTGACTCACAGTTCTGCAGGGCTTGGGACGCCTCAGAAAACTAACAATCATGGCGGAAGGGGAAGCAAACATATTCTTCTTCACATGGCAGCAGCAAGAAGTGCTGAGCAAAGGGGGAAAAGCCCCTTATAAAACCACCAGATCTCATGAGAACTCACAATCACAAGAACAGCATGGGAGTAACCGCCGCCATGATTCAATTACCTCCCAGCAGGTTCTAGCAAGCTTCAGTATCCAGTTTCATCAGGTAGGTAAGGTATGGCTGATTCAATCACTGACCACCATGTGACCCAACTCACATTTCGGCTTCCCTAGAGGAGGGTGGGTTGGCTCAAAGCCCAACCCTCTAATCACATGATTGGTTTTTTTCTCTCTTTTTTTTTTTTTTCTTGAGACAGAATCTTGCTCTGTCACTGAGGCTGGAGTGCAGTGGCACGATCTCGGCTCACTACAACCTCCGCCTCCCGGGTTCAAGCAATTCTGTGTCAGCCTCCCGAGTAGCTGGGACTACAGGCGCATGCCACCATGCCTGGCTAATTTTTGTATTTTTAGTAGAGACGGGTTTTCACCATGTTGGTCACGCTGGTCTCGAACTCCTGACCACAGGCGATCCACCGGCCTCAGCCTCCCAAAGTGTTGGGATTACAGGTGTGATCCACTGCGCCCGGCCAACATGGTTGGTTTTTCTGATGACCAACCCCCATCTTGAGTATTCTCATTAGGTATAAACTCAGATGTGATCCAAGGGACTCATGAATAACAAAGACACTCTTATTATTAAGAAAATTCCAAGATTTAGAGCATCTTCAGGACCAGAGACAAAGACCAGATTACTGCACAACTAGCTATAAAATCTTCTTGCCAAGAAAAACAAATGAATTTAAACCTAATCAAGACTCTAGATTTAGCTAACAGTTTACAGAAAATTCACACCATAAGTGAATGTTAAATGACACCAAGAGGATGAAAATAACCAAACTGAGAATGTAGGAAATCCCACAGACAAATGAGCCAATTTCATTAACAACAACAACAACAAAAACAACAACAAAAAGGCGGGTGGGGGAAATAGCATAAAGGAGACTTAGGAGACATAGCAACCAAATGCAATGTGTAGACCTTGTCTCGATCCTGTTTTGGACAAACCAAATGCAAAAAGGCATTTCTGAAGCAGTGGAAGAAAACTGAACACAGACCAACCAAGTCTGATATGATATATCAAGCATTCTGGTTATCTACTGCTGCATAATAAAGCAGTCTAAGGTTTAGCGGCTTAAAACAATTTATTCTCACTTAAAGTCTCTTTTGTATTGCAGTTACATGTGATTTCAGGCAGCATTTGTCTGAAAGTTCAAATGTGTTGGTTGTCTAAGATGGCTCATTCACGTGATGGGAAAGTGATGCTGGCTGTCAGCTGGGAGCTCAGCTGGGACTGCTGACCAGAAGACTACATGTGGCCTTTCCATGTGGCTTAAGTTTCTCACATCACGGTGATTCACTTCCCAAAAGAAACGTTCCAAAACTGACAGACCCAGGTAGAAGTTGTCAAGCTTCATAAGATTTAGCCTTAGTGGTACCAAAATGTTCTGCCACAATGCATTAGTCAAAACATTATTATTATTGTTCTACAAAGTATACATTCATTTAGTTATCCACACACTTAAACATTTTTAATGTTCTTTATTCCTTTGCGTTTCTGAGCTTCTAAAATCATTTACCTTCAGCCTAAAGACTGTATTATTTCCTTTGGCACAAATTTTCTGGTGACAAATTCTCTCCATTCTTATCTATTTTAAAATGTCGATTTCACTTTCATTTGTAAAGGATATTTTCATTGGGTATAGAATTCTAGTTTGGCAAATTTTTTCAGTAAATTTTATTATATATTATTTTTGCCTCTCATTGTTTCAGTCTATAAGTCAGCTGTCAGGCTAATTCTACCTTCTTTGAAGGTCTCTCTTTTTCTCTAGTTGCTTTTAGAATGTATCTCTTTGGCTTTGACTTTTCTTTTTTTGAGATGGAGTTTCACCTTTGTTGCCCAGGCCGGAGTGCAATGGCACGATCTCAGCTCACTGCAACCTCCGTCTCCCGGGTTCAAGCGATACTCCTGCCTTAGCCTCCTGAGTAGCTGGGATTACAGGCATGTGCCACCATGCCTGGCTACTTTGGTATTTTTAGTAGAGACAGGGTTTCACCATATCGGTCAGGCTTGTCTCGAACTCCTGACCTCAAGTGATCCACCTGCCTCAGCCTCCCAAAGTACTGGGATTACAGGCATGAACTACTGCGCCCAGCCTGGCTTTGATTTCCAATATTTTTTCTATGAACAGCTCAGATCTCCCTACAAGGAAGAACTTGGCATTCAGTTGTGAAAAACACTGTTGGCTACCAGCCTCCACCTATGTACTCTGGGATCAACTGTGGCATTTGAGGTAAGGCCACGTTCTTCTTGGGCTCCTCCCAGACAATGAATGAGCACAGCAGGTATACTAGGGCCTGGCCAACTCTACCCAGTGCAGGATGCTTCCAATGGGCAATCTTTGCTCCAGAGCTCCCCACTGGGTTGGCCGAGATTCTGCATCACAGTCTGAGACTCTCCTTGCCCAATCCTGCTTTCTTTAGCTTATTTTTCACAGGCAGTAGCCCTCAATCTCTTGCACTCCTAATTCTGTCTCAGGATCTTGTTGAGAACTCAAACTGACATGTGATAAAGGCTATCTTGGGTGGGGGTGGCAAAGGGGGCAGTGAAGAAAAAATCGTATCTAACCGTGAAATATTGAATGTTGTATTTCTGAGATGAGGAAAGTGTCAAAGAGGACTACTAAATAGCACTGTATTAACATCATACTGGCTGTAGCTAGTAAAGTTAAGGTAAGAAAAAGAAAAGGTAGAATGTGTGACAGTTGATTTTGAGTGCCAAACTGAAGAAATGTCATCAAGCTCAGATGATAGTTTATGGAGGTTGTTCAAAAGCATCTACAGCTAAGTTATTAGAATCAATAAGTAATTTAGCAAGTTTTCAGGATACACAGCAAATATATTAAAAGCAACCACATTTCTACATTTTATGTTGAGTCGTATGAAATTGCCACTTTTATAGATCAATAAAGGCCGGGCATCAGCAATATGCTTCAACCTAATAATGACAAAAAGCGAACATTTTGAAAAAATGTCACTTACAGTAGTATTAAAAAATACCAAAGCCCCAGAAATAAATCTATCGAAAGATGTTCAAGATCTTTATGCAGAATATAAAATTATGAGATAAAGAAGACCTAAATAAGTTGAAAAATATACTGTCTCAGACTGTCAGACTGAATACTGAAAATTCTGAAAGATTTTTAATTCTTGCCAAATTGATCTTCAGATTCTGAGTGACGCTAATAAAAAATCCCGAGTGTGTGTGTGTGTGTGTGTGTGTGTGTGTGTGTGTAAAGCTAATTGAAAAGATACATATGGAAGGCAAAGAACTGAGAATAACCAAGACATTACTGAGAAGAATAACAAAGTGTCAGGATTTGTTCTACCAAATATCAAAACTTTAAAAACTATAGTCATTAAAACGGTGACCCTGGTATTAGGATAGACAAATAAGCCAAAGAAATCCAATACAGTGCCCAGAAACAGGCTCACACATATATGGACACTTGATTTATGAATAAGGTGTCACTGACAAATACTAGGGAAAGAAAACATTGGGAAATAGTCAATAAAGGATGCTGAGACAATCAAATACAAGAAATAAAATCTTGATCTCACATCAATAACAAAAATTTATTCCAGACAGAATTTGAGCTAACTGTGAAAGGCAAAACAGTAAAATTCTAGAATACGGGAGAATATCTTCACGACCTTGGGATAGAAAAACATTGAACAAGACACAAAATAAAAAAGTATTAACCATAATGGAAAATACTGACAGACTGAACTTCATTAAAATTAAGAATTCCTGTTCACTAAAAGTCACCATTACATAAGCCAAAAGGGCAATCCATCCAGTGAGAGAAGCTATTTTCAATATATGTAACCAATAAAGAACTCATGTAATGGAACTGATTTTTGTTACTGCTGTGAGGTTACGGCTCCAGGAAAGATCTTGTATTCAGAACTTATAAAGAACCTCTACAAAACAATGGGAAAAAAGACATGCAAACCAACAGCAAAATGGGTAAAAGACTTAACGGATGTCACAAAGGAAGATATCCAAATGGTCAAGTAAACATGAAAAGTTGCTCAGCTTTATGAGAAATCAGGGAAACGAAAATAAAATGGAAATTACAGATCATTAGCCATTCTCCAGAACAGAAGGAGGGAAGGAAGAAAACACTTTACAAAGTTGTTGCAGAGGAATTCCTGATGACAGGTTTGCAAACTAAAACAACCACTTTGGAAAACTATATGCATTATCTATTAAAATGGAAGATACACATACTCTATGACAGTGGTCCCCAACATTTCTGGCACCAGGGACTGGTTTCATGGAAGACAATTTTTCCATGGATGGGGGGTTAGCGGGATGGTTTCAGAATAATACTGTTCCACCTGAAATCATCAGGCACTAGTTAGATTCTCCTAAGGCACGCGCACAACCTAGATCTCTCATGTGCAGTTCACAATAGGGTTTGCACTCCTATGAGAATCTAATGCCACCACTGATCTGACAGGAGGCTGAGCTCAGGAGGTAATGTTCACTTCTTCACCCACCACCTGCTGTGCAGCCCTGTTCCTAACAGGCCACAGACCGGTACTGGTCCATGGCATGGGGGTTGGGGATCCCTACTCTATGACCCAACAACTGCATTCTAATCCCTCAGAAAAAAATCATTTGAACACATATATTATGTTCACCAAGAGACAGCATTATTCTTAACAGCAAAAAACAAGAAGCAACCAAAATACACATAAACAGCAGAAATAATACATAAATTGGGGCATATCCATACAATGCAACACTATTCAGCAATGAAACTGAAGTAACTACAGTTACACTCAACACATAATGCTGTGAATCTTAGAAACATAATGCTGAGAAAAAGGAGCCAGAAAAAAAAAATACAAACTGTATGAACTTCAAAAAATATGTGACCCTGTAGTATTTAGAGATATACACTCAGATGTTAAAATTACAGGGAAAGGCAATTATTATAAAATTCTGGAAAATGGCTAACTTTATGGGTAGTAACTAGGAGAGAGCTTGAGGGGAAACTTTGGAGGGTAATGGCCTGTTTTTAGTTTTTAATCTGGGTGGTGGTTACACAGGTATTTGCCTTGCATTCCCTCCCCAAATTTAAGCATCTATATGTAAATTATATCTCACAATAAACACTTTAAAGAAAAAAAATAAATGAATCAAAATCGTATACTCTTTGCAAGAAGGCTCAATATAGGTTCTCTAATTAAGTGGTTAGAATTCCATTTATAAAACATGGCTTTTGCCAGGCACAGTGGCTCACACCTGTAATCCCAGCATTTTGGGAGGCCAAAGCAGGTGGATCACTTGGGGTCAGGAGTTCGAGACCAACCTGGCCAACATGGTGAAACTCTGTCTCTACTAAAACTACAAAAGTTAGCTGGGTGTTGTGGCACACGCCTGTAATCCTGGTGGCTGAGGCAAGAGAACTGCTGGAACCCAGGAGGCAGAGGCTGCAATGAGCTGAGATTGCTCACTGCACTCCAGCCTGGGTGACAGAGCGAGACTCCATCTCAAAAAAAGTAAATAAATAAAAATAAAATAAAACAGGACTTTAAGTTTTAAAAGACAAAATTCTGCCAGGCATAGTGGCTCAGGTCTATAATCCTAGCATTTTGGGAGGCTGAGATGGGAGGACTGCTTGAGCCCAGGAGTTTGAGACCAGCCTGGGCAACATAGTGAGAACCTACCTCTATAAAAAATGAATAATTAGCCAGATGTGGTGGCATGTGCCTGTAGTCCCCGCTACTTGAGAGGCTGAGGGAGGAGGGTCACTTGAGCCTGGGAGGTTGAGACAACAGTGAGCCATGATTGTGCCACTGGCCTCCAGCATGGGTAACAGAGCAAGACACTGTCTTTTTTTTTAAAAAAAAAAAAAAAAAAAAAAAAAGACAAAATTCTGTTTGTGTTTTCAACTCACAAACATTCTAGAGCTTGCTTTCCAAAATTTTAAAATTCTATTTATTATTCTGGCAGGATAGTGAAAAAAATACAGAGCTAGCTTTTTTCCTGACCTTTATCTTCATATAAAAAAGTTAGATTAGGCCGGGCGCAGTGGCCTAATCCCCGCACTTGGGGAGGCTGAGGCGGGTGGATCACGAGGTCAGGAGATTGAGACCATCCTGGCTAACACGGTGAAACCCCGTCTCTACTAAAAATACAAAAAATTAGTCGGGCTTGGTAGCGGGTGCCTGTAGTCCCAGCTACTCAAGAGGCTGAGGCAGGAGAATGGCGTGAACCCAGGAGGCAGAGCTTGCAGTGAGCCGAGACTGCGCCACCGCGCTCCAGCCTGGGTGACAGAGCGAGACCCCATCTCAAAAAAAAAAAAGTTAGATTAGAGGCCGAGCATGGTGACTCACATCTGTAATCCCAGCACTTTGGGAGACCAAGGCGAGAAGATGGCTTGAGGCTAGGAATTCAAGGCCAGCCTGGGCAACATAGACCTCTGTCTCTATAAAAAATACAAAAAATTGGATGGGTATGGTGGCATGTGCCTGTAGTCCCAGCTACTCTGGAGTCTGAGGCGAGAGGTTCACTTGGGCCCGGGAGGTCAAGGTTGCAGTGAGCTGTCATTGCGCCACTGCAAACCAGCCTGGGCAATAGAGTGAGACCCTGTCTCTATGAACTGTGTGGTCAGTCAGCTGTGGAGCTCCGTATGCTGGCCAAGTTCTGATGTGCTCTCTGGACCTCCAAGGTCAGGACATGGGGGTCCACTGGCCCTGTGGGGACAGGCATGCATTTTTTACCCCAGCTCAGCCACCATCTCCCTGCCTGTGGTACACCTGGCCCCTGTCCCCACCACATCCCACCACCTGTACAATGGGACCCTTGGGTACCATGCCATCAGTTGCTGGTGAGGCCCAGGTGAGTTCGTTCCTGTAATGCCCTTAGGAAAGTACCTGTCACCAGAAATTTTTAAAGCTCTCAAGGTGATTCCAATGCGGAGCTGGGGCTGAGATGCTCCAGGTTTTGAGGACTTTGGCCAAGGGCGTGAACCTCTTAGAGGAGGAATGGCTGGGCAATAATGGGGGCTTTGCTCACCACTTTAGCTCAGGACTCTCAACCCCCCTTTAAAATGAGGTGCAAAATAAATTTAAGGGACTTGAACTCAGGGAACACTTTTTTGTAGTTGTTGATACAGGATCTCACTCTGCTGCCCAGGCTGGAGTACAGTGGCACAATCACAGCTCACTGAAGTCTCGACCTCCCAGGCTCAAGCGATCCTCCTGCCTCAGACACCAGAGTAGCTGGGACCACAGGTGTGTGCCAACACACCTGGCTAATTTTTTGTAGAGACAAGGTTTCCCTACATTTCCCAGGCTGGTCTTGAACTCCTGGACTCAAGCGACTGACCCGTCTCAGCCTCCCAAGGTGTTGGGATTACAGGCGTGAACCACTGTGTCCACCCCTGCCTCTATTTTTTTTAAAAAGAAAGTTAGATTAGGAAGCAGATTCAGGTTTATTAAATTATGCTTGTAAATGAAAGAATCTTTTGTTATTCCATTTTATAATCTTTCAAAGGAACAGGTTAGAAGAGCCAACCATTCTGATCAGTTAGGATGGGAATGATGGTTTGAGATACCTGACCAGGGCATCCTGTGGTTATGGCCTTAATGTGGATTTCTTCTGTTGAGATGCAGATTCCTCAGAGTCCGTGTCATCTTAGGAACGGTCTGATCTTTACGTATTCTGGATGCTAAATCTTAGTCCAGCCAAACAGGAATGACAATGGCCAAAGCATCAACTATAGAAAACATAATCTATGGGGGTTATAATTTATATTCATAACAAGTGCAAACCCATGGAATATCTGAGAGCACTGCACATGCATCGTGCCGTGGAGAGTTTTGAAATTAGACATGGTGAGTATGGTACTTACTGGACACTGAATTCCTGCTCTAGCAATTGAGTACTACAGAATAAATTATTTAACTTCCATAAACCTAATTTTCCTTATCTAAAAATAAAGAAAACAAGTCTAATCTTTTTGGCAATTTTTAAAATTTATTTTTTTACTGATTTCTTATCAGTTGATTTTTGAGGATTAAAAAAATTACTATGAGTTGGCCGGGCGCGGTGGCTCACACCTGTAATCCTAGCACTTTGGGAGGCCGAGGCGGGCGGATCATGAGGTCAGGAGATTGAGACCATCCTGGCTAACATGGTGAAACCCCGTCTGTACTAAAAATACAAAAAAAATTAGCTGGGCATGGTGGCAGGCGCCAGTAGTCCCAGCTACTTGGGAGGCCTAGGCAGGAGAATGGTGTGAACCCGGGAGGCAGAGCTTGTGGTGAGCCGAGATCGCGCCACTGCACTCCAGGCCTGGGTGACAGTGCGAGACCCTGTCTCAAAAAAAAAAAAAAAAATTACTATGGCCAAGCCACATGAATGTACATGAATTGCAGATCTAAGAAGGAATGTTCTTGGGCAAAATTCACATTTTAAATAATGTAAAACAAGGTTGTTGCTTTGACACTCTCCCTGCTTTAGCTTAAATTTAAATTAGAGAAAGGATATATATTCTGCCATAGAAATGCTACATGTACATTTTTCTGTTCTAATCATAGCATAAGAAACCAGGAGTTATTTAAAATCGTTAAACCTATTGGTAAATTACAGTCAGAAAAAGATAACATTATGTCAAAATAAAAATTGTTTCTGAGAAACACTCTTCAACATTAAAATGAACAATTTTACATCTATTCAAAAGGGTCTTCTATTCAGCTATTTAGGGGCCATATACTACATTATATAGCATCTCAATATTAGACATTCTGTAGGAGTCTTAGGTTTTTTTGTGGCTTAAGTAACCAATTGATACTACTTGCCCTCAACATTTTTCTAGACCAAAATTACCTTTGCCACAGAATTCTGAGATCTCACCCAAGCTCCTGTCCAAGCATCTGAGCAGATCCAAAGACTATTAGTGAATCACATCCCAGTTCACAAGCTTTTCCATAGCCAACTCCATCTAGATACAAATTAGCAGCCTCCCTCAGCAAAAATACAAATCATGCTCCAGAATTTTTAGAATGGATTATCAACCTGCAACCTAGATGTCCAGTTCCTAACAGACACAAATCCTTCCTCAATCAATACAGAGCAAACACACTTAGGGAATTTTCCAGAAATTCAGTCCTGATTTGTCTGCCATCCAGATCCTATAAACAACCACCTAAAGGGAGATATTTAAAACATTTGTTCCCATAGGTTCTCCAAGTTCTCACCTTGAAACAGATTAAAGAACTAGAAAAAAGAGACTTAAGATCATTTTTTAGTAGGAAGGCTTTATAAAATTAGAGCTCATTATGTTCAGTTTTTATTCAGTTTTAAAACATACAAAGCTGACTCTAGGCAAATACTATGCAACCACTCTCTATTACATTTCTCAACACCTCTTACGTAAAGATAAGAATGATAATGTACTTATTTACAAGGTTTTAATACCACAATGAGTTTGCATTTTAAAGAAATATTTAATCTAAAAGAAAACTCACGTAACTACAGAGGTTTTTATATTACTAAAGACTCTACTGACCTATCTTCAAAGCTCATAAAATATAAATATATTTCAGATAAACCAATTACATTTTTAAAAGAAAAATAATAACCAGATATTATTCAAGGCTTAACAATAACTTGTCTACTTAAAAAAAAATTACCTGTAGTAGCCCTCCATCATCAAAACGCAGTACTTCTATTATGCTCTCTGACTGAACGAATGCTGTGAAGAAAACAAAACATACCATCACTTACAGGAACATAAATTTGATTTTCATAACATCTTTGACTTTAAAGTTAATTAATATAATTTTATATCTAAAAATGGACTGCTTAATGGTGATGGTTGAAAAGAAAAATATGACTAATACTTCAGAATTTTACAAACTAAGAAATACTTTAAAATAAAACAAATAATAAAGTAACTTCAACAACCTACAGGCTATATGCATCAACTTCAAAATATCCATTACTGTTATATTATGAGAAAGCACAAAATAGTCAAATTCAACAAGATGCAACTAATTATTTTCCCTGATAGATTAATTGAAAATATCAAAAGCATATAGAAAAGATCACTACAGTATTATATTTCCCCCAAGAAATGATCAGCTGAAATTCGGTATCATCTGCTTTTTTGTAGTGATGATATGACCTGGGATCCACAGTCAAAGGGATTTGGTGAGGAAGTGGGCAGGGAAAATAGCAAAAGATTATTCTGATCCAAGAAACAGCAATGCAAAGGTAATATATTTAAAAGCTAACATAGTTATACCATACAATCTGGCGATCGTGCTTCTGGTATTGACTGAACTGATTTGAAACCTTACATACAAAAATCTACATACAATTCCTTAAAGCAGCTTTATTCATAATCACCAAAATCTGGGCATAGTCAAGATGGCCATCAAAGGTGAACAGACAAACTGTGGTATATCTATACAATGGAATATTACTAAAAGAAAAGGCTACATACTGTATGCTTCCAAGTACATGACATTCTGGAAAAGGGACAATTATGGAGATAGTAAAAAGATCAGTGGTTGCTAGGAGATCAGGGGGAGATGGGAAAGGTTGAATAAGTGAAGCACAAATATATTTTAGGGTGGTAAAACCATTCTTTATCAAATTGTAATGGTGGATACAGGACATGATGCATTTGTCAAAACAGAACTTCACAGCACAAAAAGTGAATCTAAATGTATGCAAATTTTAAAAATTTATTTAGAAGACTGGGAGACTCCAGGATGGAATGCATAAAATGACAAAACAATTTAACTGTATTACAAATGAATGAATCAACCTTACTGAAGTGGGGGGAGAGGGGAGAGTGCTCACCTAAGTAATTCTGGAAATGAATAGAATCTGTAAGACTAAAGGCAAAAGAAACCATACACACGCAATGTATTCTAGTTAATAATGCTTTTTCCCATGGGAGTTTGGGTTAACCATTCTGATGCCACTATACATGTACACTGAAATCGAACAATTAAGTACACAGATGGTGGATACTGGGAGCCAGGTGTCTCACTGTTGGAAGAGCAATTTATACAGAAACAAGGCGGGGGAGGCCAAAATGATCCAGGTGGTAATGGTTAAGAGTCAGTGATATCAGTAAGAATTCATGTTTAGTGAAACATATACATTATTACATACATATAAGAATATTTATAGATGTGTATATTCATAGGTTAGTATACATACATGTATTTCCTTGCTCTGTCAGCTCTAAGAGCCTAAAGCAATGACATGCCAATAGCAAAGAACACACCTGGAACTCAGATCTTGTGTTCTAATATTATTTTCCAATAAAAGAAACCAGGGCTTCCTGGAGCAATGGCCGATTTGAGGACAGGGGCAGGAAATACACGAGATGAGAATGGAGCATCCTATAGTGCCGGAAAGTAAAAAATAGAGAAAACCACCCAAATCCTACACTGATGGGGATAGAGAAAGGAAGGTAAGAATCAACAGAAAGAGCTCCCAAATGACCAAAGCTGAAACAATCTGAGCAACAAAATGAAGAAGTACTAGATGTAGCCCAAAGTATAAAATAAATATCCATAAACCCATATTGCTATAAATTGCTGAATAAATGGGAGAAAAGGGACAACTTTCACATGCAGAATTTCAACTATGTGATATTTCATTTGGCTTAATATGGAATTCACTGACTCCCATTTGTTGGTCTTTTGGAAATCAGGGAAGACACTCACTGTCCCACATATGTACCTGGCTGTTCCGGTATGACAAAAGTGGACAGTCAAGCAGCAGAATAAGATACTAGTTAATTAGATTACATTACCTCGTTGGATGTTTTTTCTGCCTGCCAAGCATCCTTTTCTCCTTAGTCTAGCAGTCACATCCTGATTTTATTTTGGGAAAACTCCTGTCCTCCATTTCCTGTGTTTCTCTTCAATGACAGTGCCAACCTGCTCCACTTCTATTCATCCCCTAACCAGTCTGTGGCATATAGAGAATATTCAATAAATACTGAAAGCATGAATGATGTCCCACCTTTTTGCTCAGGTACAATAAGCACTGGCATTTGTACTTACTGATGCAAATGACCTTTTTCTGGTTATGTTATCTCTAGTCCTGGCTTATAGTGGAATTTCAATATCAAGATCAGAGCTAATGGCTCCAACAGAATTACTGACACAGTATACTTAGAATGTCTCTAAGTAAAGTGATAAACTCATTACAATAAAGGACTATGAATATAAAAGGCTCTGCTCAGCTCACCCATCCCATTCCTCACCTGTTCCCCCCACTTTTTAACACAAACTGAAATTTCACAGGATCCAGAGAATTTTTTGGTTATTCCCTACTGAAGACAAATTTATTAACATAAGAACACAATGAACTAACAAGAAATAACTGAACAGCCAGATGTTCACAATGTAAAAGACATAAAGTCAAGGCCTCTAATTAGAAGCTTTATGTCTAATTGGCAGAGGAAACCAACAAGAAACAACTGGAAACGAGCTATAGGTGGCTGCTATTAAGAGTTCCAATAGAACGACCACTGAATGAGTTCCCACCATTGAGCCAGAAGAAATGCTGATCTAACTGAAGAGAACTACATAAAGGCAGTAGTTTGGGTATACTGCTTTTTAAATCAGAAGCTTTAAAAATATATAAAAATTCTATTATGAATTATGAATTCATATTTTAAAAAGTATGAGTTATGTTAAAAATATGAATGTTAGTTAAAAAAATTAATAACAGCAGCTGATTATAAAGTCTCAAAAGGAAAATACTATGTTACACATCACTGGCTTTCCTTAAAAGATGTAGAGATAAATAGGATTCAACTCTGGCATAAAACAAATTAACGTATTTTGCTTTAAACAGCCAATTATAATACCTTTCAATTATATGCCTCAAAAAACAGAACACTAGATACAGACTTAATCATTTCACATGCAGTTATTAAGCTATAAAATATAAAATGTAACAAAAGTCAGTCAAGTTATCACATCTCCAGATTCAAAACCAGAACTAGTAACAGCTTCCTCTCCCAAAAATATTTCCCCTAATTTTATGCTGTTAATGAATCCCAAACTTTCCTGATGTTCCCTAGTTCAAGCATCAAACAACTGTAATTGAAATAAAAATAAACTAATAATTACTGATCACTGTTGTTAATATTCAAACTAACCCTATGACACAGACATTATGATCCATTTTAAGGTAAAGAAATACACACAGAGAGATATACTTAGCAAGAAAGTGGCTAGAGAAAAGTATGAATTCTGGCAATGTGAATCTGTGCTTCTAAACCCATCCCTATTTATTTTCAAAATAAACTTTACAGAATGCTCATGACTAACAGCACCTTTTAGCAACCAAATTTTTTTAATTGGGCATATATTTCTGACAATAAGTGAGGAAAGGAAGATTTACAAAGGAAAGAAAAGGATTTACATTTCTGGCTTTTACGATTCTACTCATATTTACTCTGAAGCTGGGCTCAGTAAGATCTACTTTAAGCTCCTCACACCGACCCACATCTCTAAGCTGTCTGTGAGTAACAAAGCCATTTATAATCAGTGTAAAAATGTCAATGTGTCAGTTGTTTCAAAATAGGAACACTTGCTTTCAAAACAGAAGTTCACAAACTGTTTACTTCCCTATTTCATTTAGTTAAGATTAAAAATATCTTTCACTTTAAAGACAAATCTTTGTCTACTAAGTTTTTGTTTTTCTTTTAGGTGAAGGTATTTTTCTGAATATTACAACTGATGAATAAATATAATTTGCAATTTTAATACATCTAAAATAACTCATGAAAAAAACAAATGCTGTAAATAACTAGTAGAAAAATTTATGCCATATTGTGGGGGGTGGTATCAGGCATTAGGAACCTAGGTTGTCATTGCATATCTTTACCTTCTAGCCTTCACAATCTCCTCACCCACAAAAGGAGAAGGCTGGACTAGTCAAATCAGCGATTTTTAAACTTTCTTCTACAAAAACTAGGAACAGAAGAAAGGGCCACACAGGCAGGCCTCAGGAGGGTCCCCAAAGCTGTGTTACAGAGTCACCTTGCCTAGCATGCTGTTGTTATGGCTGGCATCTTCTCCTCCTTCAAGTCTCAGCCTTGACCCCACTCACAGTGTGGCCCTCCTTGGCTTCTCAGAGCAGCCCAGTTATCCTCTATTATATTCCCTATCTTAATTCTTATCACAATCTGTAAAAGTTCCTGGTTTGCTTGTCAATAATCTGTGCCTAGAAGCAAGTCTGAAAAACATAAGATAAGAAATTCTGGTTAGGATAATGACATTGTGCTTGAGCCCAGGGGGCAGAGGTTGCAGTGGGCTGAGATAGTGCCAATGCACTCCAGCTTGGGTGACAGAACAAGACCCTGTCTTAAAAAAAAAAAAAAAAAAGACACTGCTATTTTAGAATTCAACATTGTTAAATACATCAATATCTCTTTTACAGTTACACTTGCTCAATATTTTGTTTCAACAAAGGGCTCAATAGCAATTTTAAAACATCCTGGACTAGGTCCACATGGGTCCCTTCGAGCTTAAAGACATTTTATGATCAAAGCTTTGTTTCTTCCCTCATTAGTTTTATTATCTGAAAAATGTAACATATACTTGTCTTCTTGCCACATTAGAAGTACAAGGGAACTCATATAAACCATATTTTAATTTTATCAAGACCACTCAATATCATCAACTTCCTAAAGAAGCTAATGCCCATGTTGTTTACTAAAACTCAAAATATAATCCTATGTAATTCAGATGTGCAGGATATATACCATACATCTAAAAAGATGAGCCAGAAAGGTTTTTCAAAATTAATTTTATAGCTAAAGACAAAATACCATAATTAATTTTCACCTTATCCTAAAGAATCTAAGTCATCTAAAAAGATCTGTAAACTTCAGTTATAAAATGTAGAACTAATGCTCAAGAACCACCAACTACTCTTAGCAGCTTCAGTATCAGAAAATCACTAAAACTCTGAAGCTCGCACTGCAAATGCTCTAAAAACTAAGCTATTACTGGAACTATAGCCCAAAACAGCAGGCCCTAGTCAGGACCTATATGATAAACCTAAATAGGCTGACTGTTAAAACAAAGTATTTAAATGCAGTCATGTACCATGTAATGTTTTGGTCAACGATGGACTGCATAGATGATGGTGGCTCCATAAGATTATAATACTGTATTTACTGTACCCTTTTCTATGTTTAGATACACGAAAACTTGCCATTGTGTTACAACTGCCTACAGTATTCAGTATAGTAACATGTTGTACAGGCTTGCAGTCTAGGAGCAATAGGCTGTATCATATACCTTAGGTATGTAGTAGGCTATACCACCTAGGTTTGTGTAGGTACACTCTATGTTAGCACAATGATTAAATGGCCTAACACCACTTAGGATGTTTTCCACGTTGAGTGATGCGTGACCATAGTACCCAAAGTCTCCAAACAGAAACACCAAGTGTCCATCACAGATGAATGGATCAACATGGCAGTTACATAATGAAATATTATTCAGCCACAAAAAAGAATGAAATTCTGATATATGCTACAACATGGATGGACCTTGAAAATATTATAGTAAGTGAAATAAGCTAGACAAAAAAGGGCAAATACTGTGCTTCTACTCACATGAAAAATGTAGAATAAGCAAATTCACGGGGACAGAAAGTAGATTAGAGGTTACTGGGCAACAGGGTAGGGGGAAGTGAGGAGTTGTGGCTTAATGGTTACTGAGTCTCTAGGGTAATGAAAAAAGAATGGTGGTGTTTGTATAACATTGTGATTAATGCTACTGAATTGTACACTTAAAATAGTTATAAATGCTGAATTTTATGCTACATACATGTTATTTTAAAAACTACAAAACTCATTAACTTAGACAAAAAAAAAATTACAAATTGAACCCAGCAATGTATAAAATTATGCATCACGACCAAGTGACTTTTACTCAAGGTATGCAAGACTCACCCAAAATTCAAAAACTGATCATTGTAATTCACCCCATCAACAGGCTAAAGAGGAAAAACACATGATCATATCAACTGACACAGAAAAAGTATTTGACAAAACCGAACACCTCTTCATGATAAAAACTCTCAAGAAGATAGGAGAAATGTAGAACTACCTCAATCTCAACCTCTAGGTAATATCCTTCTTACCAGTAAAAGACTGAATATATAGGCCCTGAGACTGGGAACATGTCAAGGATGTGGCTCTCACTCTATTCAACATGTGCTAGAAGTTCTGGCCACTTTAACAAGGCAAGGAAAAAAAAAAGACGAACACACTGGAAAGGAAATAAAACTCCCTAATTGCAGGCTACATACTTGTCTATGTAAAAACCCCAAGGACTCAAAAAGAAAAGTCCTTCTTAAAGGTAATAAGTACATATAGCAAAGTTGCAGAATACAAGGTCTAAATCCTAAAATCCAGTACATTTCTATATACTAACAATGAATATGCAAAAATCAACATTAAAATGCCATTTACAACGCCATTTACGACTCCAAATAAAATGAAGTACCTCAGATATAAATCTAAGAAAGCATGCACAGGACATATGTACTGAAATATACAAAATGCTGATGAAATAAATCAAAGAAGATCTACATAAACAAGAAGACACACTATATTCATGGATTAAAAGACTCAAAATGTAAAGATGTTAATTCTTCCCAAATTAATCTGTGGGTTTAATGTAAACCCTGTAAAAATCCCAGGATAATTTTTTGTTGACAAGCTTATACAAAAAATTAGATAGGAACAAACCCTAGAATTGCTAAAAACAATCTTCAAAAACAAGAATAAAGTGAGAGGAATCACTCCACCAGACATTATGTCTTACTGCATAACTTCAGTAACCAAGGCAGTGTGATATTGGCAGAGGGATAGACACATAAATCACTTGCAGAGAGTAGAACACCTAGAAACAGAACCATATATGCCTCACTGGTTTTGACAAAATTGCAAAAGCAATTCATTGGAAGAACAGCTTTTCCAACAAATAGCACAGAAGCAATGAGACATCTATAGACCAAAACAATATTTTTCTTAAAGAACCCTGACCTAATCCTTACAACTTATACAAAAATTAACTCAAAATACATCACTGCTCTAAATTTAAAATGTAAAACTATAAAACTTTTTAAAAAGGATAGAGAAGATCTTCAGGATCTAAGGTTTGGCAGTGTTCCTAGAGTTGACACCAAAAGCACAATCCAGAAAAAAAAAATGATAAATTGTTGTACCTCATTCAAAATTAAAAACTTTGCCCTTCACATGACCCTGTTAAGAGTAGGACAGGACAAACTACGAAAAGGTATAAAATATTTGCAAACTACATATTTAACAAAAGTCTAAAGATCTAGGCTATATAAAGAACTCAAAAACAAACAGAAAAGAACAATCCAATAAGCAAGTGAAAAGATGTTCAACATCATTAACCATCAGGGAAATGGTAATGAAAGCCACAATATCAGGATGGTGAAAATGAAATACCCATTCCTATCAAAAGATCAACATCCTGGTTGTGACTTTGTAGTATTCTTTGTCAAGATATTGCCATTGGGAGGAACCAGGTACAGGCTACACAGGATCTCTCTGTATAACTTCTTATAACAGTGTATGATTCTAAAATGATCTCAATAAGAATCTGTATTAAAAAATGAAATAGCTAATGATAAATTCTGGTAATTAGTTCTACCTGCTCAATAGTTTATCTTCAAAATGTTTTTGTAATAGTGATTCTTAAATGGGTTAATATTTATAATATTAAGATAATGAAATTTAATTTCAGGACCTACATGCCATTATCAATGTTAATTCAATCAACTGGTTTTGACAGCAAAAGTTGAGAATAGTTTGAAGAAACAAAATAGCACAGAAGAAGAAAAAAAAGCAACAGAGGTACTGTCAGTGAAAATGGCAAAGTTAGGGACATTTGAAAATTCTAACAAGAACAAGAAAATTGGCAGCATCAGAATAAACTTTCTAAGAACTCTGGCAATTAACCAAAAGCTTGCAGCAATCTCCAAAAGCTTGCAGCAATCCATGGAATGTTAATACATTTTTAAAAAGCTGAATCTCAACAAGAACAGTGAAATATGTGGCATTTAACTTTTCTATTCTCATTCTCTTCTCTCCAGCTCTGTGACAGCACTATAACCAACAGCCCAATCACAGTGAAAATCAGCAGCCTGACAGGCAATAAGGGTGGCAGAACAATGCTGCAGCTCCTCGAAAGCCTGATTTCCAGAGAACTGTCTTTATCTGATCTGTGTGGTGAGTCCCAGTGAGGCCCCACCTGGAAGGCTACTTTTATTTGACCTGACTCAGAGCTTTCCCACTGTGAAAAGCCTCGACCCTGGTAACAGTTGTCAAAAACCTTTAGGGGAAATTTTTAAAAATTTGGCTGCAGAACAATGTGGTAGATGACAGTTGGGCCAAACAATAAGCAGACCCAAAAGTTTAAAAGGAAAAGTTGGGAATAAGATGTCCACAGGGGCTGTAAAAAGTGTTGACACCTTCCTGCCAATCTAGAAGGTCCTGTGTACGCATCGGGCTCTGGCTCTGCCTGTGCTCAGAAGAAACCTGAGACATCCCTAAGCTCTCACACCTGGGGCTGACCCCAGGCTTTGTGTAAACAGGAGGGGAAGGCTAAGGAACAGCTGTCAACTGCCCGGCTGAGTGTTTTGATGTGCCCCAACACACACATATGTACGCAAATACACAGGCCTCTCAACAAAGATGGGGAGAATTACTGGTTCCAGGTTTTTAAGGAAATCTCTGTTCAATCATTAGATGACTATGAAGCTCACCACACGGAGACTTCAGTAGCCATGCACCACAAATAATATAGATTTAAAATAACTTGTTCAGAAAGCCACTAAACAAACAGCAACAAAAACAACAACAAACCTTAGGGAGGGGAAAATCTAATTTCCAGAGTTGCCACCTTATATGTTAGTTGTCCAGTTTTCAACAAAAAATTGAGAGACATACAAAGAAACAAAAAAGTATAAAGGGACAAAAAGTATTTAATAGAAACTGCCCTTGAGAAAGCCCAGGTTTTAGAATTACTGAATAATTTAATTCAGCTATATTAAATATATTCAAAGAACTAAAGGAAATAATGTCCAAAGAACTAAAAGTCACACCAAATGGAGAATATTAAGAAGAGAAAGAAATTATTAAAATAACCAAATAGAAAAGCACAGTAACTGAAATGAGCCCCTCCCACTGCCCAGTTTTCAAATAAATTTAAAGAAACAAGAAAGTATGGCTCATACATAGGAAAAAATGCAATCAACAGTAATGGTCCCTGAGGACAGGACTTACTAGAAGACTTTAAATAAGCTATTTTAAATATGTTCAAAGGAAAAAAGGAAACCACGTGCAAAACTAAAGTATGAGAACAACGCTTCACCAAACAGAAAATATCAATAAAGAGAAAGAAACTGGAAAAAACAAGCAAATTGAAATTCTGGACATAAAAGTACAATAACTAAAATAATTCATCAGAGGGGCTCAATAGCATATTTTGGCAGGCAAAGGAAAGAATCAGCAAACTCAAAAATAGGTTGGTTAAGATTATCCAGTCTGGGAAACAGAAATAAAAATGAAGAAAAATGAAAAGAGCCTGAGTGACTACAAAACACCATCTGTACAACAGGAGTCTCAGAAGAGGAGAGAAAAAAAGGCATGAAGAATATTTGAAGAATAGGTGACATTAGTCCAAACTAAACTATTACAAGTTGATGTTAATTGTAATTCTCACAGCAACTATTAAAAAATAAATTTTAAAAATTCAGACTTTAAGATAAAAATTGCTACAAGAGGAAAAAAGACATTTAATAATAATAAAGGGATCACTCCATTAAGATGACATAATTATAAACATACGTGAACCTAACAAGAGAGCTCCAAAACACAGGAAATAAAAACATGCAGGATGAAGGGATAAAGAAGAAATTCAATAAAAATATTTGGAGAATTCAATATCCCACTTTCAAACATGGGTAGAACAACTAGAGAGAAGGTCATCAGACTAACAGCGGATCTCTCTGCAGAAACTCTGCAAGCCAGAAGAGAGTGGGGGCCAATATTCAACATTCTTAAAAGAATTTTCAACCCAGAATTTCATATCCACCCAAACTAAACTTCGTAAGTGAAAGAGAAATAAAATCCTTTACAGACAAACAAATACTGAGAGATTCTGTCACCACCAGGCCTGCCTTACAAGAGCTCCTGAAAGAAGCACTAAACATGGAAAGGAACAACCGGTACCAGCCACCTGCAAAATCATGCCAAATTGTAAAGACCATCAAGGCTAGGAAGAAACTGTATCAACTAACGAGCAAAATAACCAGCTAACATCATAATGACAGGATCAAATTCACATATAACAATATTAACCTTAAATGTAAATGAGCTAAATGCTCCAATTAAAAGACACAGACTGGCAAATTGGATAAAGAGTCAAGACCCATCAGTGTGCTGTATTCAGGAAACCCATCTCACCTGCAGAGACACACATAGGCTCAAAATAAAGGGGTGGAGGAAAATCTGCCAAGCAAATGGAAATCAAAAAAAAGCAGGGGTTGCAATCCTAGTCTCTGATAAAACAGACTTTAAACCAACAAAAATCAAAAGAGACAAAGAAGGCCATTACATAATGGTAAAGGGATCAATTCAACAAGAAGAACTAACTATCCTAAATATATATGCACCAATACAGGAGCACCCAGATTCACAAAACAAGCCCTTAGACACCTACAAAGAGACTTAGACTCCCACACAATAATAATGGGAGACTTCAACACCCCACTGTCAACATTAGACAGATCAATGAGACAGAAAGTTAACAAGGATATCCAGGAATTGAACTCAGGTCTGCACCAAGCAGACCTAATAGACATCTACAGAACTCTCCACCCCAAATCAACAGAATATATGTTCTTCTCAGCACCACATCGCACTTATTCCAAAATTGACCACATAGTTGGAAGTAAAGCACTCCTCGGCAAATGTAAAAGAATAGAAATTATAACAAACTGTCTCTCAGACCATGGTGCAATCAAACTAGAACTCAGGATTAAGAAACTCACTCAAAACCGCTCAACTACATGGAAACTGAACAACCTGCTCCTGAATGACTACTGGGTACATAACGAAATGAAGGCAGAAATAAAGATGTTCTTTGAAACCAATGAGAACAAAGACACAACATACCAGAATCTCTGGGACACATTTAAAGCAGTGTGTAGAGGGAAATTTATACCACCAAATGCCCACAAGAGAAAGCAGGAAAGATCTAAAATTGACACACTAACATCACAATTAAAAGAACTAGAAAAGCAAGAGCAAACACATTCAAAAGCTAGCAGAAGGCAAGAAATAACTAAGATCAGAGCAGAACTGAAGGAGATACAGACAAAAAAAACCCTTCAAAAAATCAATGAATCCAGGAGCTGGTTTTTTGAAAAGATCAACAAAATTGATAGACCTCTAGCAAGACTAATAAAGAAGAAAAGAGAAGAATCAAATAGACGCAATAAAAAATGATAAAGGAGATATCACCACCGATCCCACAGAAATAAACTACCATCAGAGAATACTATAAACACCTCTATGCAAATAAACTAGAAAATCTAGAAGAAATGGATAAATTCCTGGACACATACTCCCTCCCAAGACTAAACCAGAAAGAAGTTGAATCCCTGAATAGACCAATAACAGGCTCTGAAACTGAGGCAATAATTAATAGCCTACAAACCAAAAGAAGTCCAGGACCAGACAGATTCACAGCCGAATTCTACCAGAGGTATAAAGAGGAGCTGGTACCATTCCTTCTGAAACTATTGCAATCAACAGAAAAAGAGGGAATCCTCCCTAACTCATCTTATGAGGCCAGCAACATCCTAATACCAAAGCCTGGCAGAGACACAGGAAAAAAAGAATTTTAGACCAATATCCCTGATGAACATCGATGCAAAATCTTCAATAAAATACTGGCAAACTGAATCCAGTAGCACATCAAAAAGCTTATCCACGAAGATCAAGTTGGCTTCATCCCTGAGATGTAAGGCTGGTTCAACATACGCAAATCAATAAACGTAATCCATCATATAAACAGAACCAAAGACAAAAACTACATGACTATCTCAATAGATGCAGAAAAGGCCTTTGACAAAATTCAACATCCCTTCATGCTAAAAACTCTCAATAAACTAGGTATTGATGGGACATATCTCAAAATAATAAGAGCCATTTATGACAAACCCACAGCCAGTATCATACCGAATAGACAAAAATTGGAAGCATTCCCTTTGAAAACTGGCACAAGACAGGGATGCCCTCTCTCACCACTCCTATTCTACATAGTGTTGGAAGTTCTGGCCAAGCAATCAGGCAGGAGAAAGAAATAAAGGGGTATTCAATTAGGAAAAGAGGAAGTCAAATTGTCCCTGTTTGCAGATGACATGATTGTGTATTTAGAAAACCCCATCATCTCAGCCCCAAATCTCAAGCTGATAAGCAACTTCAGCAAAGTCTCAGGATACAAAATCAATGTGCAAAAATCACAAGCACTCCTATACACCAATAAGAGACAGAGAGCCAAATCATGAGTGAACTCCCATTCACTATTGCTTCAAAGAGAATAAAATACCTAGAAATCCAACTTACAAGGGATGTGAAGGACCTCTTCAAGGAGAACTACAAACCACTGCTCAGTGAAATAAAAGAGGACACAAACGGCCTGGCGTGGTGGCTCACACCTGTAATCCCAGCACTTTGGGAGGCCAAGACGGGCGGATCACGAGGTCAGGAGATCGAGACTATCCTGGCTAACGTGGTGAAACCCCGTCTCTACTAAAAATACAAAAACTTAGCCGGGTGTGGTGGCAGGCGCCTGTTAGTACCAGCTACTTGGGAGGCTGAGGCAGGAGAATTGCGTGAACCTAGGAGGCGGAGCTTGCAGTGAGCCAAGATCGTGGCACTGCACTCCAGCCTGGGCGACAGAGCCAGACTCCATCTCAAAAAAAAAAAAAAAAGACAAAAACAAATGGAAGAACATTCCATGCTCATGGATAGGAAGAATCAGTATCATGAAAATGGCCATACTGCCCAAAGTAATTTACAGATTCAATGCCATCCCCATCAAGCTACCAATGACTTTCTTCACAGGATTGGAAAATACTACTTTAAAGTTCATATGGAACCAAAAAAGAACCCACATTGCCAAGACAATCCTAAGCCAAAAGAACAAAGCTGGAGGCATCACACTACCTGACTTCAAACTATACTACAAGGCTACAGTAACCAAAACAGCATGGTACTGGTACCAAAACAGAGATATAGATCAATGAAACAGAACAGAGCCCTCAGAAATAATACAACACATCTACAACCATCTGATCTTTGACAAACCTGACAAAAACAAGAAATGGGGAAAGGATTCCCTATTTAATAAATGGTGCTGGGAAAACTGGCTAGCCATATGTAGAAAGCTGAAACTGGATCCCTTCCTTACACCTTATACAAAAATTAATTCAAGATGGATTAAAGACTTACATGTTAGACCTAAAACCATAAAAACCCTAGAAGAAAACCTAGGCAATACCATTCAGGACATAGGCATGGGCAACGACTTCATGACTAAAACACCAAAAGCAATGGCAACAAAAGCCAAAATTGACAGATGGGATCTAATTAAATGAAAGAGCTTCTGCACAGCAAAAGAAACTACCATCAGAGTGAACAGGCAACCTACAGAATGGGAGAAAATTTTTACCATCTACCTATCTGACAAAGGGCTAATATCCAGAATCGACAAAGAACTTAAACGAATTTACAAGGAAAAATCAAACAACCCCATCAAAAAGTGGGCGAAGGATATGAACAGGCACTTCTCAAAAGAAGACACTTATGCAGCCAACAGATACATGAAAAAATACTCATCATCACTGGCCATCAGAGAAATGCAAATCAAAACCACAATGCAATACCATCTCACACCAGTTAGAATGGTGATTATTCAAAAGTCAGGAAACAATAGGTGCTGGAGAGGATGTGGAGAAATAGGAACACTTCCACACTGTTGGTGGGACTGTAAACTAGTTCAACCATTGTGGAAGACAGTGGGGCGATTCCTCAAGGATCCAGAACTAGAAATACCATTTGACCCAGCCATCCCATTACCGGGTATATACCCAAAGGATTATAAATCATGCTGCTATAAAGACACATGCACACATATGTTTATTGTGGCACTATTCACAAGAGCAAAGACTTGGAACCAACCCAAATGTCCATCAGTGATAGACTGGATTAAGAAAATGTGGCACATATACACCATGGAATACTATGCAGCCATTAAAAAGGATGAGTTCATGTCCTTTGTAGGGACATGGATGAAGCTGGAAACCATCGTTCTGAGCAAACTATCACAAGGACAGAAAACCAAACACCACATGTTCTCATTCATAGGTGGGAACTGAACAATGAGAACACTTGGACACAGGGTGGGGAACATCACACACCGGGTCCTGTCAATGGGGTGGGGGGAGGGGGGAGGGATAGCATTAGGAGAAATACCTAATGTAAATGACGAGTTAACGGGTACAACACACCAACATGGCACATGTATACATATGTAACAAACCTGCACGTTGTGCACATGTACCCTAGAACTTAAAGTATAATTTAAAAAAAAAAAATACAAAAAAAAAGAAAAGAAAGAAACAGGGAGCATTACTAATGCTACAAAAAGAAATGAACTTTCCAATCTTACAGTAAAAGGGATTAAAAGAGAACACAAGAAACAACTATACACAAACAAATTAGACAGCCTACATGAAATGAACAAATAACTAGAAAGCACAAATTATTGAAATTAACTCCAAAATAAACAGAAAATCTTAACAAACCTAATTAGCCATCAAAGTTTCCCCGCAAAGAATAGCCTAGGGACAGGTGGCTTCACTGATGAATTCTACTAAACATTTAAAGAAGAATTAAAACATATCCTTCACAAGCTTTTTTTAAAAAGCATAAAGAAGGACAAAAAACAGGCTGGGCATGGGGAACGGCTGTAATCCCAGCACTTTAGGAGGCTGAGGCTGAAGGATCATTTGAGCCTAGGAGTTCAACACCAGCCTGGGCAACATAGCAACATACCATGGCTACAAAAAAAAAGAAAGAAAGAAAGAAAGAAAAGAAAGAAAAGAAAGAAAAGAAAGAAAAGAAAAGAAAAGAAAAGAAAAGAAAAGAAAGAAAGAAAGAAAGAAAGAAAGAAAGAAAGAAAGAAAGAAAGAAAGAAAGAAAGAAAGAGCTGGGTGTGGTGGTGCATGCCTGTATTCCCACTACTCAGGAGGCTGAGGCAGAAAGATTGCTTAAACCCAGAAGTCTGAAGTGACAGCGAGCTATGACTGTACCACTGCATTCCAGCCTGGGCAACAAGGCAAGACCCTGTCTCTAAAAAAATTTAAGTAACAAAAATTTTAAAACTCAAGAGAAAACATCACGTTCCAAATTATTATATGAAGCAATTCATACCCTGATACATAAATCAGACACGGTCATCACAAGAAAAGAAAACTACAGATGTTCTTATGAATGTGGATATAAAAATTCTCAACAAAATACAAGCAAATCATATCTAGAAACATATACAAAGGATTATACATCTCGAACAAGTACAAGACTTGTACACTGTGAACTACAAAGCATCACTGAAAAAAATTTTAAAAGACCTAAATAGAAAGATATCTGGTATTCATAAGCTAGAATACTTAATAATGTTAAAATGGTAATATTCAGATCCAACGCAATCTTGTCAAAATCTCACCTTGCTCTTTTGCAAATCGACAAGTGGCTCCTGAAGTTCATAAGAATATTCAAGAATAGCCAAAACAGTTTTGAAAAAGAAAGACACAATGGAGGACTCAAAACTTCCCGATTTCAAAACTTAACTACAAAGGTATATTAATCAAGACAGAACAGTACTGGAATAAAGATAAACCTTATCAAGGTTGGGCACAGTGGCTCACGTCTGTAATTCCAGCACTTTGGGAGGCCGAGGCAGGCAGATCATGAGGTCAAGAGATCAAGACCATCCTGGCCAACATGCTGAAACCCCATCTCTACTAAAAATACAAAAATTAGCTGGGCATGGTGGTGCGCGCCTGTAGTCGCAGCTACCTGGGAGGCTGAGGCAGGAGAATTGCTTGAACCTGGGAGGCAGAGGTGGCAGTGAGCCAAGATTGCGCCACTGCACTCCAGCCTGGCGACAGAGCAAGACTCAGACTAAAAATAAAAATAAATAAATAAATAAAAGATAAACCTAATCAAATAGATCAAACAGAATAGAACTGACAGTCCAGAAACAAACCCTCGCATTTATGGCCAATTGATTTCGGCACTCAATTGATGAATGCCAAGATAACTCAGAGGAGAAAAGAACAATCTTCTCAACAACTGGCACTGGAATAACTAGGTATCTGCTTGGAAAAGAATGAGGACGGACCCTGCCTAACAACATATGCAAAAATTAAATCCAGAAGGAACAAAGACCTCAGTGTAAGAGATAAAGCTATAAAACTTTTGAAGATAACATAGATGTAAATCTTCATAACCTCTGATGAGGCAATGGTTTCTTAACTAGAATAGGTAAGCAAAGACAACACAGATAAATTAGACTTTATCAAAATTAAAACAGTTTGTGCTTCAAAGGGCACTATCAATAAAGTGAAAAGACAACCCACAGGATGGGAGAAAATTTCTGCAAATGATGTATCTGATAAGAGATACATACAGAGAATATAAAAAGAACTCTTGCAATGAATAAAAGACAAACCTCCCAATCAAAAAATGGACAAGGAAACTGACTAGACATTTCTCCAAAGATACATAAACGGACAATAATACATACATACACGAAAAGACGCTCAAAACCAGTCCTTAGACAGATGTTAATCAAAAGCAAAACAACATACTGCTTCAAAAACAAAAGGATGGCTGTAATAAAAAAGACAACAATAAGCATTGATGAGGATGTGGAGACATCGAAAACGCCTAAGTCGCTGGTGGTAACATAAAATGGAGCAGCCACACTGGAAAACAGTTGGGTAGTTATTAAAAAAACTAAATATAAAGTTACCATACAATATACCAATTATACTCTTATGTATATACATAAGAAAACCGAAAATACTTGTGCAAACAAAAACTTATATACCAGTGTTCATAATAGCATTGTTCAAATTCATGATAGTCAAAAATGAAAACAACCTAAATGTCCACTGACTAATGAGCAGTTAACAAAATGTGGTAAATCCATTTAATGGAGTATTTTTCAGCCACAACAAAAAGGAATGAAGTACTGACACAAAGCTCACAGATGAATCTTGAGGACTAATGCTAAGTGAAAGCAGCCAGATACAAAAGGCCATATATTTTAGTATTCCATTTATAGGAAACGTCCAGAATAGGCAAAAAGAACCTAGATTAGCAGTTGTCAGGGGCTGGGAAGGAATAGGGTGTGACTCCTATTGTATAAAGGATTTCTTTTGGGGTGATGGAAATATTTTGGAATGAGACAGTTGTGATGGTTGTACAAGTCTATGAGTATACTTCAAAAACCCACTGAATTATACACTTTAAAAGGTGAAGTATGATATGAGAAATTGTATCTCAATATTTTAAAAGTCAACAACAGCAAAAAGCATGCTTTTGTGTTCTATTCCCTAAATCTTTTCTAAAATGTTTATCTAAATGGTATTTTAAATATTGTGTAACCAGAGGACAAAATGTAATCTCTGCTCAAGAGCTTTAAGCTTATAGTTCTTTCATGGATACAAATTCATTCATTAGATTGTGCACGGGGAGGAGAAAACAGCAAATGATAAAGCAAATGGGTCAAACTGTCAACAGCAGGTGAATCTGGGTAAAGAATATGAATGTTTTTGACTATTTTCATTCTTAAAAATTTTCTGAAAGTTTGAATATATGCCAAAAATTTGAAAAAAGAAAACCACTACTGTAAGACTTCTAAAAATCTCAACGTTTGAACACATTCACTCTTTTAAAAAGATATACATCAAGCAATTGTAAATTCACTTAAATTATGCTAAGTTGGAAATACTGATTACAGAGGAGGTTGGTATCCTTACTGTAGCCACAGATTAAATGTGCCAAGAACATGCTGCTGACATGTCTGTGACTACAGTGGTATTATAGCCATCTTAAAACACTCAGTGGTATTACAACCATCTTAAAACACTCAGTTAAAATGATGCTTATGCCAACACAGCTATTGTGCAGGGATTTTATCTTGCATTACATCTTGTAATATAATATTTATGATTGGAAATATGGTATATCCATACAGTTATCTATATTGCATACTCATATATAATCTATAAGATCACATTCTAAATATTAGATAAGTAATCCATATCTTGTTTTTTAATAAAAAAAGAAAAGAAATAATAAAGAATATAAATCAATAAAGTAGAAAGCAGAAAATAGAGAAAAATCGAAGGAAACAAAAGTTTTCTGTTTGGGAAGATTAACAAAATTGATAAACATCTAGCTAGTCAGTTTGAAAAAAGAGAAGCCAGGTATTGTGAACATAAGAAATGAGAGACTGAATACGACTATACTTTCTATAAACATTAGAAGACTAATCAGCAAATATAATTAACAACTCTCAGTTTATGATACGGACAAATTCCTTCAAAGACTCAAAATACCAAAGGTCACTCACAAAAAACTAGCTAACTTGAATAGGCTTATATGTACTTAAGAAACTTATTTTGTAGTTAAAATCTTCTCACAAAGATAACTCCAGGATTAGATGTATTTAACGATGAGTTCTCCCAAATATTTAAGGGGAAAAAAAAAATCATACGCAAACTCTCCCAGAAACAGGAGAAACTCTCCAAACTCATTTTACAAAGCCAGCATCACTCTGATCCCCAAAACAAATAAGGGTATTAAAACAAAAAAACTACAGACCAATTTCACATCTTATTACAGATGCAAAAATTCTTGTCAAAATTTCAGCAAATGTAATCCATTAATGTATAAAAAAGATAAAAACATCATGACCAAGTGGGATTTATCCCAGGAATGAAATACTGTTTAAATATTCAAAAAAAAAACTTCAACATATAAGACTTAAAAAACAAAATTAATCATTTCAAAAAACAGACAAAAAACATTGGACAAAATTCATCATCCATTCATGGTAAAAGATCTTGGCAAAATGGGCACAAAAAGAACTTCCTTAAGCTGATAAAAGACATGTACAAAAGATATACAGCTATCATCATACTTAATGGTGAAAGACTAAATACTTTCCATTTAAGATTAGAACAAGGTAAGATTGTTCCTTCTCACCACTCCTATTTAACATCATAGTGAAAGAATAAATGAAGGTAAGAGGGCAATCTTCGTGCCAATAAAACGCAAAGAAAAAAAAAGTATGTAGACTGGAAAAGAGAAAATAAAACTGTCTTTAGACACAGACATGATATCTCCTATAACACCTATAAAAATTCTACTAGAATTTTTTTGATTCTGGTACAATTTTTACAGGTGATACAGGATATAGGAAAGTAGTAAGATTAGGAAAGTAGGAAAATGCAAGGCCAACATATAAAAATCAATCATATTTCTAATAACAGCAAGGAACAACTGGAAAATAAAAATCAAAACCATTTACAATTGCATCAAAATACTAAGATAAATATTTGACAAAATACAGCTGGAAGAAATTAAAGAACACCTAAATAAAAAGAAAGATATACCATGTTCATGCATCAAAAGAACCAATATTGTTACAGCAATTTTCCCCAAATTGATCTAGACAGTCAATACAATTCCAATCAAGTTTTTTGTTGTAAAAATTTACAAGATGATTCTAAAAGTTATACAGAAAAGCAAAGGACCCAAAATAGTAAAAAGAATTTTGAAAAAGAAGAACAAGATTGGAGGACTCAACATTGCCTGATTTAAGACTTAAAATCATAGTAATCAAGATGGTATAAAACTGACACAGATAACAGATGTGTGAAATAGAACAGAGACTCCAAAAGTAGACCCCCACATATATGGTCAACTGATTGCAACAGGGTGCCAAGGCAATTCAATTGGGGAAAAGTAATCTTTTCAATAAGTCATGCTGGTACAAATGAATAGCCACATGGGAAAGAAAAACAAAAGAGAATCTGGATGCTCCAAAATTTACAAAAATCAACTTGAAATGAATAACAGAATTTATGTAAGAGCTAAAATTCTAAAGTTCCTAGAAATCAACACGGGAAAATTTTAGTGATCTTGAGTTTGGCAAAGATATTCTTAAGTAGGATACAAAAAAGAAAAAAATCTTGAACTATAAAAGAAAAAAAGATGAATTGAGAGGTGGATTAAAAATTTTTTTTTTAGCTTTTACTCCTCAAAAGACACTGTTACAAAAGTAAAAATACAAGCCACAGACTGGAAATAATATTTGCAAAATGCTTATCTGACAAAGGACTTGTATCCAGAATATGTAAATAACTGTTACAACTAAATAAGAAAACAAACAGCTCAATTTAAAAAAATGCAAAAAAGATGTGAACAGACATTTAAGCAAAGACAACATGAATAGCACATGAAATAAGAGGGCACATGAAAAGATGCTCAAAATCCTTAGTCATTAGGAAAATAAAAATTAAAACACCAGGAGACACCACTACATAACCAATAAAATGATTAAGATGAAAACTTCTTACCATATCAGGTGTTGGCAAGGATGTGCAGGAAGTGGAACTGTAATACCCTGCTAACGGGAATATAAAATGGTGCAACCACTTTGGATAACATGTCAGTAGTTTCTTTTTTTTTTATTTATTTTTTTTGAGACGGAGCCTCGCGCTGTCGCCCAGGCTGGAGTGCAGTGGTGTGATCTCGGCTCACTGCAAGCTCCGCCTTCCAGGTCCAAGCCATTCTCCTGCCTCAGCCTCCTAAGTAGCTGGGACTACAGGCACCCGCCACCACGCCCGGCTAATTTTTTGTATTTTTAGTAGAGATGGGGTTTCACCATGTTAGCCAGGATGGTCTCGATCTCCTGACCTCGTGATCTGCCCGTCTCGGCCTCCCAAAGTGCTGGGATTACAGGCGTGAGCCACCGTGCCAGGCCAGTAGTTTCTGAAAAAGTTGAACACATAACCCACCAGACATTCCATTTCTAGGTATTTGCCCAACTGAAATGAAACGTATGTGTGAATGAAAATGAAAGACTTGTACATGAATATTTAGGGAAGCTTTATTTGTAATAGTTCAAAAGAGGAAACAACTCACATTCCCATCAACGGGTGGGTGGATAAACAAATTGTGATACAGCAACACAGTGGAATACTATGCAGTACTAAAACAGTCAAACATGCAACATTACAGACAAATCTAAAAATAATCATGCTGAGTGAAAGAAGGGAGACAACAGAAGAGTAAATACTGTATGATTCTGCTTATACAAAGTTGTATAATATGCAAACTAATCTAAGTGACAGAAAGCAGAAGAACTGTCGCCTGGGATTAGGAAGGGAGGTAAGAAAATTCTACAAAGGGTCACAAGGAAATAGAGAGTGCACACGTTCACACAATCTTCACTATGGTAATAGTTTCACATGGGCCATAACTCAAACTGTACACTTTAAATGTGTGCAGTTTATTGTACATTAATTATACCTCAATAAATCTGTTTATTAAAAGTCAAGGCCAGGCGTGGTGGCTCACGCCTGTAATCCCAGCACTTTGGGAGGCCGAGGCGGGTGGATCACAAGGTCAGGAGATCGAGCCATCCTGGCTAACATGGTGAAACCTCGTCTCTACTGAAAAAAAAAATACAAAAAAATTAGCTGGGCGTGGTGGCGGGCACCTGTAATCCCAGCTACTCGGGAGGGTGAGGCAGAAGAATGGCATGAACCTGGGAGGCAGCGCTTGCAGTGAGCCGAGACCATGCCACCGCACTCCAGCCTGGGCGACAGAGTGAGACTGTCTCAAAAAAAAAAAAAAAAAAAAAAGTCAGTATTTATTTTTACACCCCACACAGGGCTTGCTTCTTTTGGTTACTTTTATACAATAGCTTCTGAAGGATTCCAAATCATCATCTCACATCAACTACATGAAGGCCTTACTCCAAAATTGCAACCATTTTCCTTGCCTTATTTCTTGTACCTGCAAACCCAAAGGCCTATCATTACTAAATCCTCCTTCTGAGAAACACATCACTATGTTTTGTGAGGATGATGGCTACCAATCTCATTACGTGTCTTTCTTACAGAATATCCAAAATTTCAGCACAAGACAAAAAATAAAAATACATCTATACATATAGATACCTTATCAAGCCAATATTTAACCACTTCATTAAAGCAGTGAATGGAAAAAAGTATTTCCCCATGAAAAGTGTTCGCAAGGCTTTATAGTCTACATTTTCGTCTGTATGATAGTTAAAATCATTAACTATAATCAAATACATACATATATAAAGATTTAAAAAGCTACGTACCTAAGATGTGTGTGCTCTACTGATTATAAGCTATGTTTCAATTTAAAAACAGTCAAAGTTTGAAGATAGCAGTGCTGTGTTTCATGGACATTCCACCTTTCCTCTCCCTGACTGTCCTTGTGGCTTCTGTAGCCCTAGTCCTCTCTCCAGTATGCCATGATCCTAATGTCCCTACACTTGCTTCTCCCCCTGCTAGCAGCTCTACACTCTGTGGCAAAGAGCATCAGGACAGGGTCTCTTTACCGGATATTCCCCTTCAGGCAGCAACAGACTGGGAGAGCAGTTAACATCACTGACTTAGAAATAATTTTTTTTTTTTAATTACGGGTTTCTCAGAAATCATGTAGAAGTTGAATGAGTTCAGAGCCAGAACTAGGGCATGGGTCTGCTGATTCCAAGACTCCAATATCTACCACATCTGCATTCTGGTTTATCAGCTCAAGATTCCAGTCTAGTTTCTCAACACTGTGGAATGAAAAACTGCTCAGCCATCAACTTGTAACCAAAGATGACTAATATTTTAGCCAATAAGGATTAAAAGGAGGAAAACGAGCTTAGTTTCCAGGTACTAATATCCTTTTAATAGCCTAAATTTGCAGTAAAGAAAGTACAATAAGCTGGAAATAGCCAACAAACCAAGAGGAACTCATTTCCTACAGAACACATGCACTGTTAATTTTAGGGATTTACCAGAGTTGCACATTTTAAAGTTAAAATGATAGAACCAGAGAACAGAAGCAGAGAGCAGAATAAGTCAACAGTTCACTGATGGTGCAGACTCACATTCAGCACAACCAGACATATTGTAACAGGAAAAAAAAAATCCCTTTAAGTGAAAATAAGGATTTAAGGAAGTTAGAAAAACATGGAGTCAGTTAGGTTTGGTGTGTAGGTTCTGGTCTACTTTTGTAGTCTGTAGTTCCAAAGACAATTGAGTTTTGTAAGCCCCTGTGATGGTAATATGTGTCTGCTTCATTCTTCTAGCTCTGCTGGAGCTCCCACTGGATAGCTTCTGGTGCCACACAGCGGGGTGGAAGGCACATCCTCAGGCTGCACAGTATGATTAGGCCAGTGGGTAGGGGACTGCCAGACCTGAGGGGTGAATAAGAGCATTTCCCGTGGCTTGTTCTACAGTCACCTCACTGGTAAGCTTCTCACTCTATCTCTGCTGGGCCACTGTTGTGGGCAGACTAGGCCTGCTACTGCCACTGGGTAAAATGTCTCATTGGCAAGTCCCTCCTGGGCTTCCCTTTTCCTGATCCTTTGGCCAGAGAGGACAGGGTTTTCTGTTTTTTGTTTTTGTTGCTGTTTATGCCTGTTGGCAATTTCAAGTTGTACTCCACTCCAGTCTGGGATACACGGGGGAAAAACACAAACACGCATACACACCACACCGCCCCAACACACATGCATGGAAATTACTCCAGTCCAGTGTGTTTCAAGTCCTAACGTCCCCTAGCCAGTCCACCCGCTTTCCACCTTTTAGAGTCCTTTAATACCATACAGGATCAGTGAACTTGAAGACAGATCTAAAGAAGTGTTCAATTTCGGCCAGGCGCAGTGGCTCACACCTGTAATCCCAGCATTATGGGAGGCCAAGGCGGGCAGATCACGAGATCAGGAGTTCAAGACCAGCCTGACCAACATGGTGAAACCCCATCTCTACTAAAAATACAAAAATTAGCCAGGTGTGGTGGCGCACGCCTGTAATCCCAGCTACTTGGGAGACTGAGGCAGGAGAATCGCTTGAACCCGGGAGGCGGAGGGTGCAGTGAGCCAAGATCACGCCACTGCACTCCAGCCTGGGTGACAGAGCGAGACTCCATCTCCAAAAAAAAAAAAAAGAATTGTTCAGTCTGAACAGCTGCAGAAAAAGTAGGCTGAAACAAAAAAATGAACAAAGCCTCAGGGACCTCCAGGGCAATAATGAAAAATCTAACATTAGGAGAGGAGAAAAAATGTGACGCTGAGGGAGGATTTGAAAAATTAATACAGGAAAACTTCCCAAATTTGGTGAAAGACATAAACTTACAGAGCGAATTCCAGATAGGATAAACCCAAAGAAATTCATATCAAGACACATCACAAACTTCTGAAAACTAAAGACAAAAAGTCTTAAAAGGAACCAAGAAAAATGACACATTACCTATACTAGAACACCAATTCGAATTGGTGTTCAGTCTGAAACCATGAAAGTGCAAAAGGAGTGGCATATTTCTTAAATGCTGAAATATAAGAACTGAAACATAAGTACTGTCAATTGTGTGGGCCCAGCACGGTAGCTCATGCCTACAACCCCAGCACTTTGGGAGGCCGAGGCGGGAGGGCCACTTGAGCCCAGGAGCTCGAGACCAGCCTGGGCAACACAGTGAGACTACATCACTACAAAAAAATTTTAAAAATTAGCTGGGCATGGTGCTGTGCATATGTAGTTCCAGCTACTCAGGAGGCTGAGGTGGGAGGATTGCTTGAGCCCAGGAGGTCAAGCTGCAGTGAGCCATGATTGTGCCACTCACTGTACTCCTACCTGGGTGACAGAGTGAAACCCTGTCTCATTAAAACAAAAACAAAACAAACAAAAAACAACAGAAAACTGTTAATTATGAATGCTATAACCAGCAAAGCTATCCTTCAAAAAAGAAGGTAACATAAAGGTATTAGCAAATTAAAAATTTTGTCACTACCAAGCCTACGCTTAAAGAAGGTCTAAAGGAGTATCTTCAAAAAGAAAGAAAATAATAAAAGGCAGCTTGGAATTTCATAAAGGAAACAAGAGCAAAGGAAGGGGTAAATATAAGAGACCATCCTTTTCCATCAAGTTTCTTAAATCATACTGACGGTTAAAACAAACTTAACATCTGCTGTGCTCAATGTATGGAAATGAAATAACTTCAGAAAAGTGCATTTTAAAAAACAGAGAAGGCAAAGAGACCTTAATGAAAGTCAGACAAAACCCAACTACATACCGTCTAATAAAACTTATTTCAAACACATCAGTTTTACATAAAAGGTCGTTAAAAGATATATCATGCTAACATTATTTTTTAAAAACAGGTATGGCTATGTTAACACAGATAAGGTAGATTTCAGAGGAAAGAAAATTACTAGAGACAAAGACATTACATAACGATACTTTAAAAATCAATCCATCAATAAAAAAATACTGCTCCTAAAAGTAAATGCACCAAACAACAGAGTTGCAAAATAATAAAACAAAAACTGATAAAGCTAAATTACAGGTGGAGATTTCAACACTTCACTGTCAGCAACTGGTAGAACTAAAAGAAAATTAGCAAAGACAGAAAAGAACTGAACAACAATCAACCAACAGGATCTAAAAGACATCTCCAGAACACTCCACCCTACAACAGAATATTCATTCCCTTTAAGCTACCGTGGACCATGCACCAGGACAGACCATACCCTGGGTCATAAAACAAACCCCAACTATTTTAAAATAATTAAAATTATTCCATTTTCCAACTATAATGCTGGTGAACCTTAAGTTCATATGATTTCCAATCACAATGTAATCAGACTAGAAATCAGTAACAGAAACATAACACAAAAATCTTCAAACACTTCTGTATACCACATGTCTAAACAAATCATTGGCCAAAAAGCAATAGAACAGCAAAAAATACATATACGTAAATAAAAATAAAAACGCAAAATATCAAAAAACAGTTCTGACCGAAACACTTATGTCACAGTGACGCTTATATTAGAAAAGAGGAAATGGTCTCACATTAATAATCTCTGTCCCCTACTTTAAGAAACTAGAAAAAGTAGAGCAAAATAAATTCAAAGCAAGTAGAATGAAAATTATAAAAACAAGAGCAGAAACCAATGAAATTGAAAACAGGAAAATAACAACAACAAAAATCAATGAAATCAAATACTGGTTCTCTGAAAAATAATCAAAACTGAAAAGGCTCTAGCAAGACTGACAAAAAGGTGAAGACACAAAGCACAACCATCAGGAATGAAACAAGGGATAGCTTCATACTATAGCCATTAGAAGATTACTAAGGGCATAGAATGAATAACTTTATGCTCATAAATTTGACAACTTTGAAAATACGGACCAATTCCTCAAAAACCACAAACTACCAAAGCTCAACCAAGATGAAGGAAATGGCCTGCATATACCCATAACCATTAAAGACAGTGAATTTGTGAAGAGAAAGATCTCAGCCGGGCGCAGTGGCTCACGCCTGTAATCCCAGCACTTTGGGAGGCCAAGGCGGGTGGATCACCTGAGGTCAGGAGTTCGAGACCAGCCTTACCAACATGGTGAAAACCCATCTCTACTAAAAATACAAAAAATTAGCTGGGCGTGGTGGCGTGCGCCTGTAGTTCCAGCTACTCAGGAGGCTGAGGTAGGAGAATTGCTTGAACCCGGGAGGCAGAGGTTGCAGTCAGCTGAGATCACGGCATTGCACTTCAGCCTGGGAGACAAGAGTGAAACTCCATCTCAAAAAAAAAAAAAAAAAAAAAAACTAAAAAAGAGAAAGATCTCCAAAAAAGAAATTCCCAGGCCAAAATGGCTTTACTGGAAAATTTTACCAAACATTTTAAAAAGAATTAGGGCCAATTTTACATAATCTAGTTTAAAAAAACAAAGAACATTTCCCAACTCATCTAATGAAGCTAGTGTATTACTCTTGACATCAAAGCTAGACAAAACCATTGCAAAATTTTTTTAAAACTATAGACCACTATTCCTTATTAAGTTAGATGCAAAAACCCTCAAACAAATACCAGCAAACTGAATCTAGTAATATAGAAAAAGGACTACACACCATAAGCAGAATTTATCCGAAATATGCAAGACTGAATCAACATTTGAAAAAAAATTAATGGAATCAAATATACTAATAAATAACAAAATCATATGATCATGTCAATTGATGCAAAAAAAATCATTTGACAAAATCCAACATCTCATCATGATACAAATTCTCACTAAAATAGGAACAAACTGGAACTTCCTTTACTTGACAAAGAGCATCTGCAAAAATCTATACCTTAATGGTGAAAGAATGGTTTTCCCCTAAGACTGGGAAAAGGTGATCCACAACTTTTTTTCAGCACAGTACTAGAAATTCTAAGATACTGCAATAAGGCAAGGAAAATAAAATGCATACAGATCAGGAAGGAAGAATAAAATTGTCCGTATTGGCAAATGATACGATCGTTTACATGGAAAATCCAAAGGAACCTGTGAAAATCATCTAAAACTTCTAGAATAAGTAAGTTCAGCAAGGAAGCAGGATATAAGATTAACACACAAAAATCAATAACATTTCTATATACTAACAATGAACATATGGAAACCAAAAAGTTAAAAACAAGACACTATATACTAACAATGAACATATGGAAACCAAAAAATAAAAAACAAAACACCATTTACAATCACTCTGGAAAGTGAAATACTTGCAATCACTCCGGAAAGTGAAAGCTATGTACAGGATCTATATACTAAAAAATTTTAAATGCTGATTAAAAAAAGAAAACCTAAATAAATGAACATATATAATAGAGTACTTAACACAGGAAAAATGTCAATTCTCCCCAAATTAATATACAGGTTTAATGCAATTCCTATCAATATCTCAGCAACATATTTCATACACACAAACTAGCTTATTCTAAAATTTGCATGCAAAGGTACACACCCTAAAATAGTCAAAACAATCTTGAGAAATAAGGAAAAAGTGACAGAAATTACTTTCCCCAATATTAAGGTAGAGTAAGAGTAAGGGTAGTATTATTCTAGTAATAGAGTACCTGAGAGAGTGTGACATTGCCAAAATGACATGCACAGACTAATGGAATAGAACAGATGACCCAGAAAGAGAGCCACACAAATATGCCCAATTGATTTTGATACAAGTATGAAAATAATCCACTGGAGGAATTTTTTCAATTTTCAATAAATGGTGCTAGAGCAACTGGACATCCACAAGCCAAAAAGTGCCAAATATTTTTGTATCTCGGAACCAACTTGCTAAATGGAAATGTGAAATAGTTACAATGGCCCATCAGATAATTTCTTGATTATACAGAGAACAATTATATTTTTACTCCATTCTTTAACTCATGTGGTATTGATCTCCTATTACTTTGATCAAAGTTTCAGGGTACAAATTAAAATTTCGATTTTTTTTCAAGGAAAGTTTATAAATAACAGGTCATACTCCAAAGTGGTAAAAGAAAAAAAAGACTTAAAGTTTGGAAAATTTTCTTGGGCATAGTAGTAACTGGGGTAAAAAGAGAAAAATTTATGTCAAAGTGAGAATGTGTTATATATATTTAAAAATATTTCTCTTTTTTCATTAAGTAGTGTAAACTAGATTTTTTTTTTACTACTAAACATGACTTTTGTAAATACATGGTCCAAAAATTTTATTCTCTATTAGTCTTTAATAGTTTATTCTCCATCTCTGACATAAATTTTAAGTTAAAAAATTATCCAACAGCGGCTGGGCACGGTGGCTCACGGCTGTAATCCCAGCAGTTTGGGAGGCCGAGGCAGGCAATCACCTGAGGTCAGGAGTTTGAGACCAGCCTGGCCAACATGGTGAAACCCCATCTGTACTAAAAATACAAAAATTAGCCGGTGTGGTGGCATGTGCCTGTAGTCCCAGCTATTCAGGAGGCAGAGGCAGGAGAATAGCTTGAACCCGGGAGGCGGAGGTTGCAGTAAGCCGAGATCGCGCCACTGCACTCCAGGCTGGGCGACAGCGTGAGACTCCGTCTCAAAAAAAAAAAAAAAAGTTATCCTACAGCAATAATTTTTAAAATGAAGTTAAATGTTTGAATAAATGTGAGACTTTGTTCACATTTATTCCAAAAGGAAAAAAATTGAAAGACACCAAATTTGGCAACTTCTAAGCACAATAATGTTTACATAAAAACAAAAAGCAAAGAAACAAAAATTTTGTTGTGCCTGGTACTTAATGATTTACATAAACTAAATTTTAGCATTACTATGAATTTTAGTTTATTATTTTTAAAATTTATTTAGTCACATGTTTTACTTTTGACTACATACATATGAAACAACATTATATATTTTATTTTTCCCCCTCTAGTAACCAGGCACAAATTTTAATGTACTTCTAGTCTGTCCTGGCTTGCTTTGAAATTCAAGGGATACTATTTTGGTGCTGACCACTGACTATAAACAGAAAGTACCAGCTAACTCATAGGATGGGGAGAGGCAAGGTTATTTCATGATCTCATTGTGGGATGAGGCAAACCTAAACTTAAAAAAAGAAACAAGTTACCTCTTCAAGACATTAGTTTAAAAAAAAAAATGTGCTCAAGTGTTAGAACTTCTATTCCAAAGGACAAAAGTTTCCTGTTTTGAAAACATGCGGGAAAGCTTATACCTGCTGGCATGGCTGCCAAGTATGTTGACAAATAATGAAAGTTTCAAAACTAGGCCTCTGAAATACAATTAGCTAATGTCATAGTAGGTGCCTTGATTATTCCAAAAAAAAAAAGATAACTTTTAACTAAAAGCTACTGCACATAACCACAGTGCTAACGGCTAAGGCTGGACCTCCTCAAGGAACTCATACACTGAGATGAGACACAGACGAATAAATCAAGTACTGGGTGCTCCAGGTGCACTGAAACCACCAAATTCAGCCACAAGGGTTTATGGAGTGGTTACGTCTGAAGGAAGAGTCAGGTGAACACGGAGGTTAAGGTAGGGCATTCCTACCAGAAAGCACAACAGTGCAAAGGAATTTGAGGTATGAAAAATCATGGTTCTTTAAGAAGATAAGTCATTTCATAGGTCTGAAATCTGGGGAGCATTGAAGAGAATTAAGAAGAGGCTGGAGAGGGGGGCAGAAGCTGAGCCACCATCCACACCAAACCCTGGAAGTTGTGTGCTATTTTTCCCATTTTCCAGTAATTTGCCCAAGGTCAAACTTCTGGCAAGTGGCAGAGATGAGAGGACAGATCAGGTCTGCATCTCTACAAAGCTCAAGCTCAGGCTGTCTCTCAACGACCTTCCAATACTTAGAATAATCTCCCAACAGGTGCAGCTTCCTGAAGACAGAGAAAGCCCATGGTGAAGTAGAACAGTAACAAACCCTGAAACCAATCATTAAAGTAGCTGTTCTCAAAGTGGAGTTCTTGGACCACTGCATTAAAATGCCTTGGTACTCAGCAAAAGGTAGATTCTGGGCCTACATTCAGACATACTGAATCGCATTCTCTGAGACTGAGCCTGGGAGTCTGCATTTTATGATACCCACAAGCTTTGAAGGCTGGTGATTTAAATGCCTGTTACGCCTAGGGCAAGTGACCAGATTTGAAGGGGCATATGAAGAAAGGAAAGGCTTAATTCAACTTCAGATAAATGGGATCTGAGTTAACAATGAGCTATGCAAGGAAAAATGCTGAAGCAGGCAGTTCCAAGACAGTACTTGAACTTGGGGAAAGGGACACCAACAGAGGGACGAAACTGAAGCTCTCAGCTTTCAAAAATCAAGGAAGAAATGGTAGAGGGCTGAGCTCTGCAACTTATTACGGGCAGAACCTCCCTCCAGCAGCAGTGGAGCACTGACAGTGGAGGTTTATGAGCAAGAGGAACAGAAGAGGGCATGTGTCATGGAAGCCAAGAAAGGGCTCAACAGTGTCAAAGACTATCCCACAGAGAAAAGAAGAGGACAGAGGGGCAGAGACTTGAAAATAAGCCACCAGAGTTGGCCAATTGGAAGCCACTGGTAAGTCTTGAGACAGGTTTCTGAGTGGCAGAGAGAAGCCAGACTCTAAAGTAGATGCCTTGGAAAGTCAAGAAAACAGGAGAAGAGAAAGGAGAAGAAAAGCTCTATCTGAAGACTGAAGTAAAGAAACGTGGGGGGAGACACAAACTGAGGTTACAAGAAGGGAGAAATAGAAGGAGCTGACGCTGGAGGGTCTGTTTCAATGAGCTAAGATACAAGGTCATCTGTGTCTCTGGGGAGGTGGGGAAGAGCTGGACAGGTTTGAAGAACCAACTGCTTCAGCCCCATGGTCAAGGCCTGGAAGAGCCACTGTGGTCCTGACTCTCAAACAGGGAAGTATTTTCTTGGCGCACCTTTTACTGTAGAAAAGGTTAACCTACAGAATAGTTAAAACAACTGTATTTATCAGATTTGTTTCAGCACATTCTCCCTTTCTCTCTCTCTCATATATATGAGAAAAAAATATATATATGTCTGCGTGTGTGTGTGTGTGTGTATCTATATATGGTCAAACCATTTGAAAGCAGGCTACAGACACCACAACACTTCCCAGTAAATACTTTCAGCACAGATCCCTTAAGAACAAAGACATTCTCCTACATAATCACAATTTTATTACCACAGCCAACCATTTTAATACTGACATATAACATTTAAAAAATACAGTCGGTATTTAAGTTTCCACCCCAAAATGTCCTTTATAACCTTTTTTTTCAGTCCAGCATCCAATCAAGGATCATGCATTACAGCATTATATTTGGTTGTCACTTTAGTCTCCTTTAAATTACAACAGTCCCCCTCAAAAGTTTTTGTCTTTCATGACATAATTTTTGGAGAATCAAGACCTAGTGTTTTACAGAATATCCCACAATCTTGATTTGCTTTATTGTTTCCTCATGATTAGATTCAGGGCAAATATTTTTGGTAAGAATAATATAGAAATGACATGCAACCCTAACAAGAGACTGATATTTCAATTTGTCACTACTGGTGATATTAAATTGGATCACTTGCTTAATGTAGTATCCACCAGATCTTTGCATCACAAAGATGTATTTTTCCCTTTGTAATAGATAATTCATAAAAAGAATTTTGAGATAGTACACATATACCCAATAATCTTTACCAATAATTTTTAGCATCCATTGACAATTCCTGCCTGAGTCAATGATTACAGTGGCAGTTGTAAAACGGTAACTTTCTAATTCAATCATTCCTTGTACATTTACTAGAAGGCATTCTTTGGTAATGTCATTTTTATTTCCATCCACCTTCTTCATGTTTAAGTATCACTATGGACTCATATTTTCTTCCAATATAACTGATTACTTTTTTTTTTGATGTTCAAAATGTTCCAAATTTGGCCAATGAGAATCCCTTCAAGCCAGTTTTTGTGTTGTTCTAACTTGTTTCCATTAGTCCTGGAGCACATGTTTGCTTTACGACACAAAATGATCCAGTATCATTTTGCAGTTTTCCTGTCTGAGCCTTAGATGGTTTCACTGGTTAATTCTAACAAATGATGCTAAAACGGCTTAAAAGAAATAAGACTAATTCTATAAAAATGATTCAACATTGTAAGAAAAATCCTTCCCAACTCATTTGATGAGACCAGCATTAATCCAACACCAGAAATAAAAATAGCATACAAAAACTAAAACCAACAGACTTCATTAATGCAGACATAAAAAATGCTTAAAGGTGTTTTACCAAATTGAGTCCAGCAATATGTAAAAATGAGTAATATATAACATCCAAACAGAGTTAATACCAGAAAAGCAAGGATGGTTTACATTTTTAAAAAGTAATGTATTTTACCATATTAACATTCTAAAAAAAGAAAAACTAGTTACTTCACCATCTTAATATAGAGAAAAAGAATTTGATAAAATTCACCAATTCATGATGAAAATTACCAGTAAGCCAATAGAAAGAACTTCCTCAGCGATTATGAACACTTATTAAAAACTTACAACTGACATCGTACTTGATGGTCAAAGACTGAATGTTTCCCCCCAAAATTGGGAACAAGGAAAGGAAGCTGTAAACACTATCTAAAAAAAAAAAAGGTGCTATTAGAACAAGTAAGGTTATAGCACGTAAAGTTAATAACAAATATCAATTACATTTCTATATACAAGCACTGAACAATTGAAAAATAAAATAAAATATAATTTCATTGTATTTGGAAAAAATACAATCGGTTGTATACAGAACAAATATCCAATTGTTTGTATACTTGTATACAATATACAATTGTTGTATATGGAAAAAATACAATTCCCTATACAACAGCCTCCAAAAACATGAGAGATAAATACTGTTTAAAGAAATTAAAAAAGATCTAAATAAAGAGATGAATCTTGTTTGGGATTAAAAACTCCATGTTGTTATATCAATTCTCACCAGTTTGATTAGAGTTAATGTGCTCTCAATCAAAATCTCAGGTTGTTGTTGTTTTCGAAATTGACAAGTCTGAAATTTACATGGAAATGGAAGTAACTAAAACAGCCAAAGCAGTTGCAGTATTCATACTGCCTCCCTTTAAAGACTTACTAAAAGACTGCCGTAACCAAGCTAATACAGAACTGACAAAATGATATGTAAATCAACAGAACAGAATTGAAAATCGAAAAACAGACACGCAAATACATGGTCAACTGAGTTTCAATAAAGGTGCCAAAGCAACTCAATGGAGGAAAATGAAAGTCTTTTCATAAATTGTGCTGCAACAGCTGAATATGCAAATGCACTTTAAAAAGTGAACTTACGGGAAATTGTAGGTCAATATTTTAAAAGTCAACAACAACAAAAAGCATGCTTTTGTGTTCTATTCCCTATTGCAATATGCATTATTTACATATTCCCATTATTTGAATACGCAAATAATGAATATTGACTCCCACCTCCTACCATATATAAAAATTAGCTCAGAATGGATTACAGACCTAAATAAACAGCTAAAACTATAATGTTCTAGAGAAACACACAGGAGAAAATTTTTGTGATCTTGTGGTAGGCAAAAATTCTTACAGGATACAGAATATACACAGACCTGTAAATGAAAAAATTGAAAAACTGTACTTCATTAAAATTTAAAATATTTACTCTCAAAAAACGCTGCTTAAAAAATGAAAAGGCTGCCTGGCGCAGTGGCTCACGCCTGTAATCCCAGCACTTTGGGAGGCCGAGGCAGGTGGATCACAAGGTCAGGAGATTGAGACCATCCTGGCCAACAGGGTGAAACTCCATCTCTACTAAAAATACAAAAAAATTAGCCGGGCGTGGTGGCGGGTGTCTGTAGTCCCAGCTACTTGGGAGGCTGAGGCAGGAGAATGGTGTGAACCCGGGAGGTGGAGCTTGCAGTGAGCTGAGATAGCGCCACTGCACTCCAGCCTGGGCAACAGAGTGAGACTCCGTCTCAAAAAAAAACTATAATGAAATACCACTAAGTACCCACTGAAATGACTGACAACATCAAGTGTTGGGGAAAGACATACTGTAAAATCAACTGGAACTCTCACATCCTGCTGGTAATGGTTTGACAGTTTCTTCTGAAGTTAAACATAATCTTACCATACAACTCATCAATCTACTCCCAGGTATTACTTGCGAGAAATGAAAATATTTGTCCACAAAAAAACTTTTACTTAAACCTTCATAAAAGCTTTAATCATAATAGCCCTAAACTTGAAACAACCCAGAAATCTATTAACAGGTAAAAAACTAAATTGTAGTTTACTTAGCAATAAAAAGAAACAAACATGATAAATGTAACGTGAATTTCAAAAGCATTATGCAAACTGAAACAAGTCAAAACAAAAGACTGCATGTAGTATGATTCCATTTATTTACAATTCTAGACCACGCAGCAGCTACAGAAAGTGACAAAAAGCAGAGCAATAGTTGTTGCCTGAGACCAGTGATGAGGAAAAGGCACTGATTGCTAACAGGCACAGGGGAACTTTCTGAGATGATGGAAATGTCCTACATTAAGATGGTGCCATTTTCACAACTGTATGTTTATGAAACTAATCAAAATGCACACTTCAAACTAGTGAATATTACTGTATGCAAATTATACCTCAATAGAGTTGGCTAAAACATAAAGGAAAGAAAAAGAAAGCTGGCACAAGTTTAGTCATGTTCAACCTTACAGCATTGTTTTAAAGTAGGTTATTACCCTGGGCTCTTAATACCCTGAAGGCACATAGATGTCACCTCATTTCTGTCTTTTATTAATTTCTTGTATGTTAAAAGTGGGAGAAAAGGAGCTTTACTAATTTTTGATAGCTTTTTTGTTTCCTTAAGGTCTCAGGAACCAGTCAGCTTTAAGAATTTTTGAGATTGCAGGCCAGGTATGGTGGCTCATGCCTGTAATCCCAGAATTTTGGGAGGCTGAGGTGAGCAGATCACTGGAGGTCAGAAGTTTGTGACCAGCCTGGCCAACATGGCTAAACCCTGTCTCTACTAAAATTACAAAAATTAGCTGTGCTTAGTGGTGGGCACCTGTAATCCCAGCTACTCAGGAGGCTGAGGCAGGAGAACCGCTTGAACCAGGGAGACGGAGGTTGCAGTAAGCGGAGATCGCGCCACTGCATTCCAGCCTGGGTGACAAGAGTGAAAACTCCATCTCAAAAAATAAATAAATACAATAAGAATTTTTGAGATTGCTAGAATAATTTCCCTTTGTTGTTGTTGTTATATATAAGCTAGAATAATTTTATCTTCACTTATAAATCAGATGTTTATACTACATCACATATTTTTAAAAGTTTTTCTTCTATGCAAATGCATAGTGGTAAATTTTTGCTAAAAGTCTGAAATATCTAGATACAGAATGAATTAATATTTGGAAGAATAAGTTAACTTCTCAAATATAAATGTTTTCCAGAATCCAGTTCTAACAGGCTTACATAAAAGTGGCACAGGTATAGTGTACAGTAATATTCTAATACTCCAACCGACTTCCAAGGAAACTGGCAAATCAAGCATTCACATTCCTGAATGTTCTACTAATAGAATGACAGCAATCCCTACACACTTATTACCACATACAGCTGCAGTTAAAGGTCTTTCTCAAGAAATCTCCTATGTCCCCAGACAAAATAATAATAATAAAGGAGACCACCACCTACAAGGTCAAAAATACTGCTGTAATACAATTTAGGAAATTAGGAGAAATGTTAAGGCATTCTACTTTTATACTGGATTTATTCAAGGCTGGTCTCTAATCTCTGTTTCCTTGCAATTTTGCTCATGTCACTTCCTATTACTGAAAATGATATGCAAGCCACATACCTCCTCTTTAGAGTAAATTCAGTTCCACTGCAAACAAATTGCAGGGAAATACAGTTGGGAAAGAAGTCAATGTTTTCCATAATTTCTTTAAAACAGTCAAATAAATATTACAGAGGAAAGCAAAAATCACATGCAACTAAGAATTGGATCTATTTTTATCATATCAAGCTTGTTAAACACACATTTGAAATATACGTCCTTGACTAAGTCAATTCTACTGCAATCAAGATTTTTCCTTAAACCACCTGTTTACTCCCAGACAGAAAAACACATCGAAACAGAAATAACCCAAGTAAAATGTCTAACCATATCTCCTAAATGCTTTCTACATCCTGACACTGTACTATGCAATCTGCATGCACTATTCTTATTTAATTCCAACAAATCCTGGGAAGGAAGATACTAATCTATAAAACAGAAATAAGTTACCAAGCAGTAAATTAATACACACTATTATCAGCAAACTTTGGGAAAACACTGACTCTTGGTCTTTACAACCTCAGTCTCTTCATCTATAAAATATAGATACAATTCTTTTTTGTGGGAAAGAGAGTTTCTAGGGTGCCAGATGAGTTGGTCTCCCCTGTGTGAGACACCCACTGGGAGCCATGGGCGGCCTCTGAGGAGAAAAGTCTCCTTATTGCCTTCATGTCTTTATGCCCCAAGAGCGTAAGAGCTCCGCGGCATGCCACAGGTTGCTCGGGGAAATAACACTCCCTTGAAACAGTGGAGTATAATCAAACATCTTGGTTCCTCTTGAAACCCACTCCCACCCATTTCAGTCCCGGTAAGTTAAAGATCTTAAGCCGTTTAGACACACGCCTTTGCTTGGGGAAATTCACAGAAACCGCCACTGCTATATATCTTATTGAATGACTGACGAGTTCTCCTTCACCGATTAATTCTTTTCCTCATCGCTTCGTACCCCTCCCATCTACCCTAAGAACAAAGAGCTTGTAAACCAATAAATTGGGTGGAGGCTGAGAGTTCCGGGCTGTGAGCAAGCCTCTGACACTCTGGTCCCCTGGACCCACCTTTTAAACTCTTATTCTGTCTCTTTCTAACTCCTTTGTCTCCGCTGGACTCGGGGTACCCGCCAGGTGGTGTGGGGCTGGTTTCTCCAACATTTTTAAAACAGGCACTACTGCATAGATTACCTGGCACATAATAGCTACCACTTACTACCAAGGGCCACGCTGCTAAGCACCAAGTGGACACCAGGAATGATGAATCTGGATGGCTGTGACAAGCCCCATGGCTGGGCACCAATTCATCTAATCTCACAAACAGCACAGATTACTTAAAAATTTCCTAATGAAATTAGGGAATGTGTAATGAAAATTACTGCTCCTAAAAATCTGAAGAAATTCTCCTGTGAATTTAGATTGTGTAAAATTACCTACTCCTAGACAGGCTAACTTCAAAAGCTATTTTCTACCTTTCTTTTGCCTGCCCATGGAGAAGTGATTTAAATGTAACCCTGAAATTCACATAAAGGTAGAACTAGATGGCATTAGTCAATTTTCCTAGGGTGGCTTTTCCTGCTAGAGCTAAAAATTTGAGTAGAAAAAGAACAGTAATGCAAGGATAATTCAGTAAAAGAGAAAGTAAGCAAAGCCTAGAAACAAAAAAATTGAACAAAAGCAATTTTTTAAAAAAAAACTTAAATTGCAAAATTATCAAATTTATTTGCTATCATTTTGACAGGGGTATATTTTTCCCTTGTCATAAAACAAATTTCTATCATGAATATCTAGTATGTTAGAATAATTACTAGAGCTGACAATGCATACACTGAACATGTAAGCCTCACAGGGTAAATCGGCTGTTCTCTGCTCACTGCAACATAACTTAGCAGTAGTTAAACCAGCAAGGTGTCTGGCATTCGACTCAGACAAAATCTTTCCGGGTGGTTAACAGAGTCTGGAAGGGACAATTTCTCCCTAAATTACCTAATACATTACTTTAAAAGAACCCTTTCCTAATTTTTTAAAATTTCTTCCACTCTTCAAATCTTAATTCTTTGAATGTCTTGATCTTAAAAGTATTTTGAGAAACTAAAGAGAACACAATAAATAAAAGGTATAAACTACTTGAGGCCAGGAATCACCCCTTCTTCATCTCTTAGGTTCCAACGACCAATCCAGTGTCTGACACAGTGGCCCTCAATAAATGTTTGTTGAGCTGACTACATGGATTACCTTCAGACTAAGGAGTTGGTCTGGTCCAACTGAAAATAGCTTCAAGTTGGCTCACCTGGGATTACACAAGTAGTCCAGAGTCAAACATAACATGAATATGCAACAAGAGCTAGCACTAATCCAGCACTTACTACATACCAAGCCCTACAGATGATTCAATACTCACACCAACCCTAGAAGACAGGTATTCCTATTATCCCCATTAAACAAATTAGGAAGCTGACACATGAGGACTAGTTAACTTGCTCAAGGTCACAGTCAAGCCCATATTCCAAGTCAGCAGTCTGTTTACTCTCTACACCACTGAGAAAGGTAGCCAGGCAGGTCCCTCATATAAGATGACAAGACTAATCACTTACGAAGACAAGCCCTTGCTTTGACCAAACTTGTTCCAGGGGTGTTCACAGGTGTGAATTCAACCACACCTGCCCACCACCTAAAACAAACAAACAAACAAACAAACAAACGGCACACTTCTTAGATGGGGGCGGTGAGTCAGATGGAACTTATGGAGTATTGTTTTGACTCACCATAAAAGGGAGTTACTCAGATCCAGACCTAATGCCCCATTAGAACTGTCCTCTCTAATTTCATAAGCTGACTGATACACAGGTCTGTGTATACAGTCAACCTAGCTCTCTCCTGTGGCACACACATATTAATATGTACCTTTAATCTTACACTGTAATTGTTTATGCCTGTCTCTAACAAAAAAATTCTTGGAAGCTAATTACTATCTTACTCATAAACATATCCAAGGACCCAGCAGTGTACTGAAAAATATACTGGTTGCATGAAAGATGCACACTGACAGAAAACAGGAAGTGTAACATAAAACAGTACAGTGTGTAAATTTATTCATATGTGACTACAAAATGAAATGTTTATTTATTTAAATTCCCTGGGTACAGACAAATTGTCAGAAAGGAAAGAGAAAAAAAAAAGAGTATAAAGATCACATGGAAATAAGAAATTTAATAAGTAACAAACTGCTTATAATAAAAAACTGTATACTCAACTAATTCGAACGGTGCAATGGAAAATTTTTCAAGAGGGTTGATAGTGGGGGGAGAGAAGATGAAGCTAAATAGATTAAGCATCCTCAAACCAAAAGTTTAACCTCTTCAACATTCCACAGAATACTTTTATTCCCACTTAGTCTAAGAGGAAACAGACTCTCAGGGATAAGTAACTTGTACAAGGTCACAGAGCTAGTAAGCACTAGAGCCTCGATGCTCTTCTTATCATACCATGTTGTCTTCCCATGTAACACATCCTGTTGGGATGTCTTACGCCACTTTTTTTAGGTTGTTTTTTTTTTTGGAGAGGTTTTTTAAGGTGGGAGGCACAGAAGAAAAATCTCAGAACTCTGAGACACAGACACATAACAAGGCTATAATGTCTTACTGCCTAAGACCTCAAAATGAGTTACTTATTCTAAGTAATGCCCTAGTACACTAAGTCCTGTCCCCAGCACCCGACCTATCCTGGCAACCACTTATAACTCAGCATCCATCTGTAGGCCTGTTCACTCCACCACACTGAAAGCTCTTGCAAAGCCAGAATTGTGTCATTATCTTTCTACACCCAGCCTAAGACATGGCACCTACTGAATAAAAATTAACGAATTAATTTGCTGGTGTTCTGTCTAGCCTAGTGACCAGATAAGAACCGAGGAGTGACTACCAGATAAGGGCGCAGAGGGTCTATGTTTCCTTTATTATATATATATTATATATTATGTATATCTCAATGTGGTGTTTTAATATTTTAAGTGTTAACACTTTGAGACACCAACATGAACTTCGGACGTAAACATGGGAATAGTCATGAACCTGCCTGTCAGTGTGTAATTCAACTTTCAACTGAATTGAGACTTACTGAGCACTTGCTGTGTACCACACACATTTCAGACAACACAGTGGGCACTCCTATCTCCCTGCAGTAGGGTCTCGGAAAATGAGTTCTCCCTTTGGAGGGGCAATGTTCAGACAAAAACATAAGTTTCAGGAAGTATGCCAAGCAGTGCTGACATGTTTGTAGGGAAGCCTGCACAAAGCAAGAGTGACTCCCAACATCTCCCACTCATCTGTGCGTAGTGAAGACGAGACCTGGCAAGTTTCCTGGCTCCCATTATCCAGAAGATTATACTCCTTCCCCAACTTCTCATTTGAACCAGTTTGCTAAGGCACATCCTTCCCATCAGAATAAGGATATCGGGCAGGCGCACTGGTTCTTGCCTGTAATCCCAGCACCTTGGGAGGCCAAAGTGGGAGGATGGTTAGAGGTCTGGAGTTCGAGACCAGCCTGGGCAACAGAGTGAAACCTCATCTCTACTAAAGAAAAAAAAAAATTAGCTGGGCCTGGAGGCGCACCTCTAGTCTTAGCTACTTGGGAGGCTAAGATGGGAGGATCACATGAGCCTAGGAGATCGAGGCTGCAGTGAGCCATAATTGTGCCACTCACTGCACTTGAGTATGGGTGACAGAGACAGACTCTGTTTCAAAAAAAAAAAAAGGAAAAGGATATGACAACATTTATGTTAGTTAATTCAGCTGACAAACTAACTCATTTAAGAGCAATTTGTTGATGTATTATGACCACTAGACATGTATAAATTAAGCCTTTTATCTTCAATTGTACAAAAGAGAAGTTACCCTGTACACAGTACATATCATAAGGCCAGCCGCCTAATGATAGGGGCAGGGTAAGGGTGTGTGTGCTTAGACAGACAATTGTTGCTTTAATCACCAGTTTCTTCCAGGCCCTCCACCAAGCTCCCCATGTTTGGGCCCTTCTGCCCCAACACCTCCTTCCCTGACAACTCCCCTCCATTAGTCTGTTACTTCTTTCCTTCTCTAACTCTCTGGCTGCAGACACCTAACTGCCTGTATTATTTATGTTTTCCAAAATATTTCCTTTTCAGATGCTAATTAATGACACCTGCAGGTCTTCTTGGCTATCTAAGAATGATGTATCTTTCTGTGCTAACATTTGTCTTCCCAGGCTACTATTCTAAGGCCTTAGAGTACTTATTCTGCTATGAGTCAAAAACATATCTACACACTATTTGGTGAAGATTATTCCATACATCACTGTACACAAACTGCTCAAATAAAACAAGTTGATGCAATAAAAATCTGCAGGAATAGAACTATGAAACTGAAAGCCACGCATATTCTCCTACAAGTAGCTGATATCTAACCACATGCTCTTACTTTATTAATAAGCAGTGTTTCATACAACACTGGACTTTCTGATGTTACTGTAAAAAATGCAAAATCATCCACTTATCTAAATGTTACTCAGTGCCTTTCACAACGATCTGTCTGATGTGGAGTTGTTCAGGGTCCCAGGAAGGTCAAAGTTAGTCTACCTCTGTGAACCAAGACCCTGGCAACATTCCATTCCATTCCATTCTCCTTGTTGATGAAGAATGACTGTTATAGTACTGCTGAAACACAGAAATGTTTCCAGAAACGTGCTATTGTGAGCCCTAAGTACAAAGCATGAGACACATCTTAAGGTGTATCCACTTGGGAAAATCTGTTTTTCTACTGGAACCAGCATGGATACTGAAACGGAATGCAAAATTTGAATAAATAAAACACAGTACCTTAAAGAAATGGCTACCTCTTTTGGGGATGGCCTTAGACTCCCCTTGGCCCCAAGGAACTGCTCAGTAGGGAGCATAAGGGTATCAAGGCTGATCCAAGAGACAAATGCTCCATGCCTGGTTTCTTTCACTGGAGGCAAGGTGCGGGAGGAGGTAAATAGAGACATAGGCCAAAAGAAACAGTACAGAGAGAGGAGACAAAAGATAGCACGCCTAATCTGCAAACATATCTGAAAACTAACATTTCAAGACCTATGGCAAAGTGCCTAGCAACTCTATTAAGCATGTTTATGCCCACTGTACAGTTGAGAAAGGTCCACAAATAATTTGCCCAAGGACACACACAACAAGTAAATGATAAACCAATACGTGAAGAAAAGCCATCCATTTGCAAAGCCTTGACCTCATCTATTCACCACTCACTCCAGGCACAAACCAGCCTGGTGGAAGAGCAGGTGCTCTGCTGACTGGGCTTCTGGTCCCAGGATTGTGGCCAGAGAAGAGTAACCATCTGGGCCTATTCCTGAAGCAAGGACAAAGTGCTGAGTGCTATGGCCAACTTCTGGTGGTCTGCCATGCTGGACATATCTCATTCACTTTTACCCAGGAGTGTGCAAGTAGAAGCAAGCAGAACGCAGCAGAAGAGAAGGTATTACAAATACCTGCTGGCTTGACTATGTGCTCTGGAACTGGCTCTACTGACCTACTGACACTCAACCATTCTTGGACAAATAAAAGCCGGGTTTGTTTTTAATGTAGCCTATGGTGGGGGGAGTATAAAGAATGATTAAAATTATTATTCACCTTGCACATTAACTTCTGGCTTAAATAAACTACTACTTTAGAATTCTATCAATAATTATTTAAACATATGAAGAAGATGGGAGTCAAATACAATATGAAGACAGTTATGGAAGCAAAAGTGCTAACTTCAGCTCAGAGCTGCTATACATAAATTATTCCATCAAATCAGGTATACATAACCCTTTACAAAGGGCACTGGGTAAAGGTCAGGGAGAAAATCCTGGGCTTTTTCAGAGATCACTGAAATTGCTGACAATGTGGGGGATGACACACTGAAGTCCTGACAGGAAAATAGCACACAAGGAGGTGTTCCACGTGACAAAAGCAACAAAGAACATAAGGCATTAGCTGTGATAAGTGGAGGAAGGGGGGAAAATATACCATTCTTCAATTTTAAAAGAAAAAAAATACTGAAATATAAGACAGTTGATACTGATCTAAAATTACATTTGTGGCTATCAATCAATTTCCCAAGCTTGAAAGTTTCTATACGTTGCCAAATGCAATGGGCTGAGAAATTCTCAAATCAAAACTTTGTGAAATAATCCATAAAGTTTTCTGAATCATACCTGAAATTAAAATAAGCTACTTCTAAATGCTATGTATGACAGACAGGCTATATATAACCAACACATTTTTAAAGTATAGGTTTGTAGTCTCATTGTTTCTAATAATGTCTTACTGTGTGTAGGTTAAAAAGAAAATCCTAATTAGCTGGGCATGGTGGTGCATGCCTATAGTCCCAGCTACTCAGGGGGCTGAGGCAGGAGGATTGCTTGAGCCCCAGAGGTCGAGGCTGCAGTGAGCTGCCATCACACCACTACATTCCAGCCTGGGTGACAGAGCAAGACCCTGTCTTAAAAAAATAAGCAAAATAAAATAAAATCCTATATAGACAATTCTTCACTGTCATCAAAAGAAAGGAGCGGGCACAGTGGCTCACACCTATAATCCCAGCACTTTGAGAGGCCAAGCTGGGTGGATCACTTGAGGTCAGGAGTTTGAGACCAGCATGGCCAACATGGTGAAACCCCATCTCTACTAAAACTACAAAAATTAGCCGGGAGTGGTGCCACATGCCTGTAATCCCAGCTACTCGGGAGGCTGAGGCAGGAGAATCCCTTGAACCTGGGAGGTGAAGGCTGCAGTGAGCCGAGATCTGCCATTTCAGAAACAGAAACACAAGGTCAGAAACAGTGCCTATTTCTGCCAACTGGAAAAATCCAGAACTCATGACATACCAGAGAGACTGCTCAGGAGGGCCTTACCTCAGCTGTGGGGAATAATCAGTCCAAAACTGAACAATGTTCCAGGCCCACCTAACACATCTTAAAAGCAAGACCCCCCAGAAACTGCACTACTCCCACCTGGGTGACAGAATGAGATCCCCTGTTAAAAAAGAAAGAAAAGAAAAAGGAAAGAAAGGAAAGAAAGGGGAGGGAGGGAGGGAGGGGAGGGAGGGAAGGCGGGCGGGAGGGAGGGAAGGCGGGCAGGCAGGCGGGCAGGCAGGCAGGCAGGCAGGCAGTCTTAGGCAGAGACCATTCTAAAAACCATCAATCTGTGGTGGGCAAAATAATAGTCATCAGCCCACTCCAAGACGCCCACATCCTAACCTCGGGATCTTGTGAATATGCCAAATCACATGGCAAAGGGGAATTAAGCTCCCAGATGCAATTAAGGCTCTAATCAGCTGATGTTAAAATAGGGAGGTTATTCTGGGTTACCTAGGTGGGCCCAATGTCCTTAAAAGTGGAAGAGGGAGGCAGAAGAGGGTGACCCAGAGAGAAGGCACATAAGGAGGACTCGGCCCAATGCTGCTGGCTTTGAAGGCAGGGGAAGGGGCTACAAGCCAAGGAATGTAGGTGGCCTCTAGAAGCTGGAAAACTCAAGCCAACAAATTCTCCCCTAGGGCCTTCAGAAAGAAATACAGTCCTACAAACACATATTAAAAAAAATCTTTTTTAATTTTGTGGGTATAGAGTAGGGGCCTACAAACATCTTGATTTTAGCCTGTGAGACTCACTACATACGGACTTCTGATCTCCAGAACCATAAAATAATAAAGTTGTGTTGTTTTTAAGCCACTAAATTTGTGGTTATTTGTTACAGTAACAGCAAAGGGAAACTAATACACCATACTATCTCACATTAATTACCAAAAATTTTCTGTACCAAGAGGTTTAGGAATAACATCTGAAAATAACAATGCCAGTTACACTGTAGAATAATAACTGATGCAGACATATGAACTTCTACTTCTGGGCATGATGTACCCTCCCATCCTGAAGCAACCAGAAACTCACACGAACTGCATTAATTAAATGATCATTTTCAGACCCTAAACATCAGTCAACGAAGGACATGGGAAACAAACAAGGTAAGCCCTATGATTGGCCCAGCTTACTGCCTCAAGGGAGTTACTAGGCCACAGTGCAGGGAGGGGAAACAGTGGTAGAGCTTGGTGGATTTTCCAAATTGATGAGACAAAGCTGAGAGTCCGAGGAAACCAAGGCAATTAGAGTTCATAGAAAAGAATACCAAAATGGAGTGAGCTGCATAGAGAACCCTGGAGAACTACAGAGGGTCCCCATTGAGTCCTCGGTGAAGTACTGATCAGTGCATTTGTGTGAGGTAACTCCCCAACGCTGGGGAAGGAACCATCCAAAAGGATTAGAGGAACAATGCCCACCATTCAAACAGGGTCAGAAACAGTACCTATTTATACCAACTGGAAAAAAATCCAGAACTCATGACATACTGGACAGAGTGCTCAGGAGGGCCTTACCTCAGCTGTGGGGAATAATCAGTCCAAAACTGAACAATGTTCCAGACCCACTTAACACATCTTAAAAGCAAGACATCCCAGAATATCAAACTGTCAAGTAACTTAACTGCATCTTAAAACAAAGCTCAAGAATATTTATGGGAATACAAAAATAGCAGCACCCAACAACGTAAAATTTGCAATATCTGGCATCCAATCAAAGATTATCAGGCACACACAAGAGACAGAAAAACATGACCCAATACGAGAATAATCCATTGAAACCAACCTAGAACTGGCACAGAAGTTAGCAGACAAGACAATAAAACAGGTATTATAAATGTGTTCCATATGTTCAAAAAGTTAAGTAGAGAGATGGAAGATACAAAGACAAATTATACTTCCAGAGATGAAACCACAATTTGTGAGATGAAAAAAATGTGATGGATGGGATTAAGGGTGGATTAGACATGCAAAAGAAAAAATTAGGGAACTTGAAGGCATAGCAGTAGACCCATCCAAAATGGAACACGCAGGAAAAGATCTAAAAAACCTAAACAGTGCAATGTGCTGTGGGATCAACTTCAAGCTGTCTAATGCCTGCAGAACTGGAATCCTCAAAATGGGGTTGGGAGGAGGAGGAGGAGGAGGAGGACAGGAAAAATGTTTAAAGAAATAGTAAGCAAAAATGTCCCAAACTTAATGAAAACTATAAATCCAGAGATCCAAGAAGCTCAACAAACCCTGAGCTCAACAAACATGAAAAAAACTACACCAAGAGATAATCAAATTATTTCAAACCAGATTTACAAAAAAAATCTTAAAAGTATCAAGAGAAAAAAAAAGACATGTTATATACAGAGGAACAAAGATAAGGATGACATCAAATTTCTTCTGGAAAACAATGCAAGTGGGAAGACAGTATCTCTTTAAAGACTAAAAGAAAAAGAAAAAAAAAAACATGTCGACCTGTAATTCTATAGCAAATAAAAGTATCTGAGAACAAAGGCAAAATGAAGACATTTTCAGAGATATAAAACCTGAAAGAATTCATTACTAGCAGATCCACACTACAAAAAAATCCTTCAGGCAGAAGGAAATGATACCAGGTGGAATACAGATATGTGTTTCTCAATAATTGATGAATAAAGCAGGCAAAAAATCAGCAAGAAAATGGTGAACTTGAACAGCACTACAACCAACCTGACTGACATTGACAGAGTACTCCAACAACAGCAGAAGACATATTCTTCTCAAATGCACACATTCACCAAGATAGCCTATATTCAAAGTCACAAAACAAGTCTCAAAAGAACTAATGTCATACCAAGTATGGTCTCTGGCCAGAATGGAATTAAATTATGTATCAATAACAAAAAGATCTTTGATAAATACCCAAAGACCTCAAATCAAAAACCTCAGTATCCACCTTAAGAAACTAGAAAATAAAGGAAAAATTACACTCTAAGTAAGCAAAGAAAAAAAAAAGAGAAATAAAATTCAAGTGAAAAAGTCAATGAAACAGAAAAAGTGAGACAAATACAAACATATACAGAGAATAATAAAGCCAAAAGATGCTTTTTGTGAGATTAAAATTAATAAACTTGTAGCCAGTCTGATCAAGAAAAAAACGACAGAAAACACAAATTATAAGTTTCAGGAATAAGAGAAGTGTCATCATTACAGTTGCTACAAATATTCAAAAGATAGTAAGGGAACATTATGAACAACTTTGCCAATTAATTTGACAACTTAGATGAAATGAACAAATTCTTTGAAAGATATTAATTACCAAAGTTCACTCAGGAAGAAATAGATAACCTGAAGAGCCCTGCTTCTTAAAAATTGAAATTGTGGTTAAAAAAATCCCCATAAAGTAAACTCCAAGCCTAGATGGCTTCAATGGTAATTCTTACCACATATTTATGGAAGAAATAACACCAGTTTTATACAGATTCTTCCAAAAAATTAAAAAGGAAAAACACATCTCAACTGATTTTATGAGACCAGCATTACTCTAATACTGAAAGGGAAGGTATTACAAGAAAAAAAAAAAAAAAGACCAATATTCCTAATGACCAAAGATACAAAAATTCTAAGTCTTAGCAAACAAACAAACAAACAAAACTTTAAAATAAATTGCATAATACCTATCATGACCAAGAAAAAAATGCAAGGTTAGTCATTCATCATGTTAACCAAAAAAATCCATGATACAGACAAGGCATTTGATAAATATCCATTCCTGTTAAAAACTCTCTTCAAACAAGACATAAAAGAACCTCCTCAACCTGGGAAAGGGCATCTATGAAAAACCTATGGCTAACAGCATACTTAATGGTGGAAGACTGAATGCTTCCCCCCTAAGATTATGAACAAGACAGAGATGTCCACTTTTACTACTTCTATTCAACATTGCACTGGAGGTCATAAGCAGTACAATCAGGTAAGCAAAACAGAAGGTATCCAGACTGGAAAAAAACGTATTTGCAGACATGATCATCTACGTAAAAAGTCCAATGCAATCTACAGAAAAGCTATTAGAACTATTAAGTCAGTTTAGCAAGATTACAGAATACAAGATCAACATAAAATTTACTTCTATATACTAGCAATGAACCAGAAATTGAGATTTTAAAAAAATATCATTTATTAATAAACTAGTATCAAAAATATGAAATACTTAGAGATAAATATGACAAAAGATACTTTAAAAATTTTATACTGAAAACTACATTAAAGACCTAAATAAATGGTGAAAATATCCCTGTTCATGTGTCAGAAAACTAAATACTGTTAAGAAGTCAGTTCCCCCCACAAATTCATCTATAGATTCAACACAGTCCCAATCAATACCCAAGAAGGCTCTGTTGTACAAATTGATAAGCTGATTCTAAAATTCATAATGAAATGTGAAGGATCTTGAATAGGCAAAACTCTGAAACAGAACAAAGTTGGTGAACTGACACTGTTTCGGTAACTATAATACAGCTGCAGTCAAGACAGTGTGGTACTGGCATCAAGGCAGAAAAATAGATTAACAGAACAAAAGAGAGACAGACAACCAGAAATAAACTCACACATGTACATGCAATTGCTTTTCAACAAGTACAAGCACAATACAGTGGGAAAAGGGTAGTAGTCTTTTTAATTGACTTTTTAATAGACACTAGAAGAACTGGTTATTTATATGCAAAAAAAAAAAAAAAAAAGAACTTGGGTACAAAACTCATATCATATGTAAAATGAACTCAAAATCAATCACAGATCTAAATGAAAGACCTACCACTATAAAACTTCCAGAAAAGAATACAGGAGAAAATCTTTGTGACCTTGCATTAGGCAGAGATTTCTTAGATACGATACCAAAAACATGATCTATAAAAGAGCAAATTGGTAAAGTTGATTCAATCAATTAAAAACTTCTGCTCTTCAAAAGACTGTTATGAGAATAAAAACACAAACCTCAGACTTGGAAGGAATCCTTGTAAATATGTATCTCCAGAATACTGGTACCCAGAACATATAAAGAACTCTCAAATCTCAAAAATAAGAAAATAGCCTAATAAAACATGGGCAAAAGATGTGAAAAGACACTTTACCAAATGAGATATATGGATGGCAAATAAGCACATGAAAAGATGCTCAACATCATTATTCACCAGAGAAATACAATTAAAATTACAATGAAATGCAGGAATGCCTCAGAGATATTGCCAGGTTTGGTTCCAGACCACCACAATAAAACCTATATCACACAATAAAGCAAGTCAGGTAAGTTTTCTTGATTTCCCAGTGCTTATAAAAGCTACATTTACACTGTATTGTAATCTATTAAGAGCGCAATAGCATTGTATCTAAGAAAGTATATATCTTAACTTAAAAATACTTTATTGCTAAAAAATCCTAACAATTATCTGAACCTTCAGCAAGTCATAATCTTTTGGCTAGTGGAGAGTCTTGCCTCAAGGTTGATCAGGATCAGGATAATGGTTGCTGAAGGGTGGGGTGGCTGTGGCAATTTCTTGAAACAGCAATGGGCCAGGCGTGGTGGCTCATGCCTATAATCCCAGCACTTTGGGAGGCAGAGGCAGGCGGATCATGAGGTCAGGAGTTCGAGACCAACCTGGCCAACATAGTGAAACCCCCGTCTCTATTAAAAATACAAAAATTAGCCAGGTGTGGTGGGGGGCGCCTGCAATCCCAGCTACTCGGGAGGTCATGGCAGAAGAACTGCTTGAACCCGGGAGGTGGAGGTTGCAGTGAGCCGAGACTGCGCCACTGCACTCCAGCCTGGGTGACAGAGCAAGACTCGGTCTTGGGGAAAAAAATAATAATAAATAATAATAATAAAAAACAGCAATGAAGTTTGCTGCCATTTCATGAAAGATTTCTCTGTAGCATGCAATGCTGTTTGACAGCATTTTACCCACAGAAGAACTTATTTCAAAACTGGAGTCAATCTTCTCTAACCCTGCTACTACTTTATCGACTAAGTTGATAATACCCTGAATCCTTTGCTGCCATTTCAACAATGTTCACAGCATCTTCACCAGGAGCAGATTTCATCTCAAGAAATCACTTCATCTATAAGAAGCAACTCTTCATTTGTTCAAGTTTTATCGTAACACTGCAGCAATTCAGTTACATCTTCAGGATGCCAGCCACTCTGTTGCCCAGGCTGGAGTGCTTACTGCAGCCTTGACTTCCTGGGCTCTAACAATCCTCCCACCACAGCCTCCTGAGTAGCTGGGACAACAGGTGAGAGCCACCACACCTAGCTAATTTTTGTAGTTTTTGTAGAGACAGGGTTTTGCCACAGTGCTCAGGAGGTCCTTGAACTCCTGGGCTCCATATTCCTCCCGCCTAGGCCTCTGAAAGGGCTACCATACCCAGCCCAAGCTTCACTTCTAATCCTAGTTCTCTTGCTATTTCCACTGTATCTGCAGTCACTTCCTCTACTGACATCTTGAACTCCTCAAAGTCATCCATGAAGGTTGGAAGCAACTTCTTCCAAACTCTTGTTGATATTCTGACCTCCTCCTATGAATCACAAATATTCTTAATGGCATCTAGAATGGCAAATCCTTTCCAGGAGGTTTTCAATGGACTTTGCCCAGATCCAACTGAGGACTCAGTCTCTGTGGCAGCTATAGCCTTAAAAAATGTATTTTTAAAATAAGACATGAAACTTGAAATTACTTCTTGATCCTTGGCTGCAGAATGGATGCTGTGTTAGCAGGCACGAAAACAACATGCAGCTCCTTGTACATCTCCATCAGTGCTCCTGGGTGACCAGTTGCCTTTTTAACAAGCAGTAATATTTGGAAAGTAATATTTTTTCCGAGCAGTAGGTCTCAACAGTGGGCTTAAAATATTCAGTAAACCACATTATAAACAGATGTGCTGTCATTCAGGCTTTCTTGTTCCAGTTATAAAGCACAGGCAGAGTAGATTTAGCATAATTCTTAAGGTCCCTAGAATTTTTTCAGCATGACAGATGAGCATTGGCTTCAACTTAAAGTTACCAGCTTCATTAGTTCCTAACAAGAGAGTCAGCCTGTCCTTCGAAGCTTTGACGCTAGGCACTGACTTCTCCTCTCTAGCTATGAGAGACCAAGATGGCATCTTCCAAAAGAAGGCTGTTTCATCTACATGGAAAATCTGTTGTTTAGCGTGGCCACGTTTATCAATGATCTTAGCCAGATCTTCTGGAAAACTTGCTGCAACTTGTACATCGGCACTTAACCACTTCACCTTGCACTTTATGTGATGAAACTGTCTTCTTTCCTTAAGCCTCATGAACCAACCTCTCCTGGCTGCCAACTGTTCTTCTGCAGCTTCTTCCCCTCTCTCAGTCTTCATAGAACTGAAGAGAAGAGAGGGGCCTTGCTCTGGATTAAACTCTGACCTAATAGAATGCTTGTGGCTGGTCTGATCTTCTATCCTGAACACTAAAGCTTACTCCTATCAGCAATAAGGCTGTTTTGCTTTCTTATCATTCATTTGTTCACCAGAGTAGCACTTTTAACTTCCTTAAAGAACTTCTCCTTTGCATTCACAACTTGGCTGTTTGGTACGAGAGGCCTAGCTTTTGGCCTTTCTCAGCTTTGACATGCTCTCCTCGCTAAGCTTAATCATATCTAGCTTTTGATTTATAAGGGAGAGGTGTGACTCTTCCTTTCACTTGAACACTTAGATGCTATTTAGTACTACTAATTGTCCTAATTTCAATATTGTTGTCTCAGAGAAAACGACAGCCTGAGGAGGGGCGAGAAGTGGGGGAACAGCCAGTTGGAGCAGTCAGAACACAGGCATTTATCAGTTAAGCCTGCAGTGTCATATGGGTGTGGTTTGTGGGCATCCCAAAACAATTACACAATCACATCAAAGATCACTGATTGCAGATTACCATTACAGATTTAATACTGAAAAAGCCTGAAATATTGTGAGACTTACCAAAATGTGACATAAAAATAGAAGTGAGCATATGCTATTGGAAAAATGGTGCTAATAGATTTGTGTCAGGCAGGATTGCCACAAACCTTCCATTTGTAAACAGCATATTGGCTGTGAAGGAGGCAAAGTGCAATAAAATGAGAAATGCCTGTACCACTACACACCTGTTAAGATGGCTAAAATTAAAGGACTGACCATACCAAGCACTGGCAAGCATATGGAGGAAATGGAACTCTCATACACTTCTTATGGGAATATAAAATGGTACAGCCGCTTTGGAAAACAGGTTAGCAGTTTCTTAAACATACAGCTACCATAGGATCCAGACATTCCACTCATATGTACTTACCTGAGAGAAAATAAAATACATGTGCATACAAAGACTTACACATGAATGTTCAAAGCGGCTTTATTTATAACAGCCCCAAACTGCAAACAACCCAAAATTTCAACAGATGAACAAATAAATCATGGTATATTCATACAACAGAATACTACTCAACATTAGAGACTAACTATCAAGACACACAAGTTGGAAGAATCTCAAGTGTCTTGTGCTGAGTAAAATAAACCAGTCTTAAAACCATACAATCTCAAATTATACACACTAATTTCATTTATATGACATTCTCAAAAAGAGAAAATTACAGTGACACATAACAGATCAGTGGTTGACAAGAGTCAGAAGTGGACTATATGGAGATAGCACAGGTTTTGGAGGGTAATGAAAATGTTCTGTATCCTGACTATGGTAGTGGTTATTCAAATCTATACATGTGCTGAAACTCACAGAACTACACACCAAAAAAAAAAAAAAAAAAAAAAAAAAAAAAAAAAAAAAAGTTTAAAAATCTGTTAAGGTAGCTATCCACACACATACACTCTTTATAACCTTGCTGCTTTCATTTATCAATATACTTTGGAAATCACTAAAAAGCATATTCTAGAGGTTTTCCTCATTCTTTTTTAAGGTGCATAATGATCCATTATGTGGATGTAACAATTTATTCAACTATATAGGGGCATTTAGGTCATTTCCAATAGTTTTCATTCACAAATCATCATGCTATGAATAACCTTATATATATGTATTTGTATTGTTAAAACAGCCAATTCCTAAAAATGAGATTGCTAGGTGAAAACCGTAACATATATGTAATTTTGTTAGACACTGTGCCAAACTTCTTTCCATTAAGGTTGTATCTTTTTTGCATTCCAACTAACAAGGTGTGAGAACACGTGCTTTCCTGCAGTCTCATCGAAAGTGTTGTGAAGCTTTTAGAACTTTGCCACCCAAATAAGTGAGAAATGGTATCTCATTTAGGTTTTTTCCCCCTTAGATGAAAAGCCTATCAATTTTTAATAAAACTTGTTTAATAACAGCTCCCATTTTAAGTATATAATGCATAGTTTTCAGTGTATTCAGAGTTGTTCAACCACCATCCCAAAGAAAAACCCTTGTACCCATCATCAGTCACTCCCTACACTGCTCTCCATAGTTCTAGACAACCATGTTATCTATTTTGTCTCTGTGGATTTGCCTATTCTGGACATTTCATATAAATGGCTTCTATGGTCTTATATGGTCTTTTGTGAGTGGCTTTGTTCACTTATCACAATGTTTTCAAGGTTCACCTGTGTTGTAACAAGCATTCATAATAATACTTCACTCATTTCTATGGCTGAATAATATTCCATTTGATCTATTCTTCAAACATTTCAGTTGTTTCCACTTTTTGGCTACTATAAATAATGCTGCTATGAATGTTCCTGCACAAGTTTTTATGTGCAAGTTTTTGTGTTTTCGTTTCTTTGGAGTATATACTAAGGAGCATAACTGTGGGTCATACAGTAACTCCGTATTTTCAGGACCTACCAAACTGTTTTCCAAAGCAGCTGCACCATCTTATGTTACCCATAAAGCAACAAGACATTCCAATGTCTCCGCACCCTTGCCAACATTTATTATCCATCTGTTTGATCGTAGCCATATTGGTGGGTGTGAAATGGAATCTCATTTTGGTTTTCATTTGTATTTCTCTGATAGCTAATGATGTAGAGCATCTTTTCATACGTTTATTATATATCTTTATTAGGAGAAATGCCTATTCAGATCCCCTGCCCATTTTTTAATTGCACTGTCTGTTGTAACTGAGGTTATGAGTTCTTTATACATTCTAGATACATATCCCTTTATCAGATACATGATTTGCGAAAATTTTTCTTCCATTCTGTGGGTTTTCTGCTTTCTTTATAGGGCTTTTTAAAGCACAAAACTTTCAAATTTTGATGTCTACTTTATCTATTTTCTCCCCTTTTGTTGTTTGTGCTTTTGGTGTCACATCTATCAAGAAAGCTCATTAGAAACTCAATGTCTGTGGTAGGCTGAATAATGACTCCCCAAAATGTCCATGTCCTAATCCCAGGAAGCTGTGAATGTTACCTTACATGGCAAAAGGAATTTTGTAGATGTGATTAAATTAAGGATTTTGAGATGGGGAGATTATCCCAGATTAGTCAGATGGGCCAAATATATTAATAATCACACTCAGAGGAACAGAATGTGATATGCAAGATGTTTGGATTAGGAAAAGGGTGATGTCAGAGGCCATGAACCAAGGAATTCAGGAAGCCTCTAGAAGCTAAAAAAGACAGAAAAAGATTCTCCCCTGAAGCCTACAGAAAGAGCACAGCCCCAACACCCTTGTTGGAGGCCACACAAATGTTTCTTGTAATTAGGTACAACTGAAGCCTGTTAGTAATAATATGAACCTGTGATCAATTAAGCAGCCAACCAATCGTTACCTCCTCCTCCATGCTCTTGTTACCCAATAAATACAAAAGGGCTGTAGAAGCTCAGGGGTTGCCTTTGCTCACTAGAAGCAGGGAGCCCTTTCATTCTTTTCTTCTCTCTTCTTCTTCCCCATGCTAGCCTTTCCTTAAAAATTACTTTTGTTTTTTGTTATCATTTCTACGTTTGTGCCTTCGTTCAGTCTCATAATGACGGTCTCAGACAGTAACAGTAGAAACTGCTGTAGTGACAGTCTCAAGTAGTAGCAGTGACAGTCAGCTACAAGTGGTGCCTGAATTCCAAAGGGAGGAGGGTATAATGAGACATGTCCGACCCCCTCTTCCCATCATGGCCTGAACTAGTTTTTCAGGTCTCTTCGGGTCTCTTCAGTTCTCTTCAGGTCCCTTTTTGTCCCTGATAGTCCCTTCAAGTTCCTGTCTAGGCGCCACTAAGGGCTGCATAATCTGCAATTGTCTTGCTCAATTAATTTAAAAACAAAAAGGAGATGGAGGCTGCACAAATGTTTCTCATGATTAGGCATAACTGAAGCCTGTCAGTAACAACATGAACCTGTGATCAATTAAGCAGCTGACCAATGGTTACCTCCTCCTCCTTGCTCTTTACCCAATAAATACGAAAGGACTGTAGAAGCTCAAGGGGGCTGCCTTTGATCACTAGAAGCAGGGAGCTCTCCTCTTCTCCCCATGTTGCCTTTCCTTAAAACAGTTTCTTTTGTCTTTTTTCATTTCTATGTTCGTCCCTTCGTTCAGTCTTGTAATGATGGTCTCCAGTAGTAACTGCAGTAATGACAGTCTCAAGCAATAACAGGAGTTAACTGCTGTAATGATTGTCTCAAACCATAACTGTGGCAGTCAGCCACACACCCTGACTTTAGACTTCTGCCCTTTGGAATGATAAGAGAATAGACTTGTGTTTTAACCCACTCAACTTGTGATAATTAGCTACAGGCACAATAGGAAACTAACACAGAGTCCCAAGGTTTTTACTTGGGGCTAGCCACACGGTACCCCTCTGCCTAACACATACCAAAGTTCCAGACTCCCAGAAGAAAAGTAGGTTAACATAAACCATATATACTTAGGTCTATTACTAGAATTTCTATTCTATTCCATTAATTTGTCTATTTATATACCAGTACTTATTCTAATTATACCAATTACATAATAGTTTAAGAGCAAGTTTTAATAACTGCTTGTGCTAGTCATTCCTCATAACTTTTCCAGAATTTTCCCAGTATTTCTACATTTTCATTTTTTCATAGAAAATTTAACAGCAACTTTCCTAATTCCATAAGAAGTTTTCTTGGTATTTTTTTTTTAAATATCAAATTAATTGACAGCAAACTGATGTCTCAGTCCATTTGAGTTGCTTTAAAGGAGTACTGGAGGCTGGGTAATTTATAAAGAAAAGAGGTTTACTTGACTCATGGTTCTGCAGGCTGTACAGGAAGTGTGGTACCAACATCTGCTTCTGCTGAGGGCCTCAGGCTGCTTCCACTCCTAGAAGGCAAAGGAGTGTGCAGATCACATGGCGGCAAGGGGGGTGGTGACAGGCTCATTTTAATACCAGGTCTCAGGTGAACTCTCTTGGAAATTAAATGTGAGAACTTAGTTCCCCATCCCCCTGGGGAGGGCATTAATCTATTCATGAGGGATTATTAATATATATTATATATAATGATATATTACTATAATAATTACTATATATTGATACATCAATACTCATGAGGGATCATATCGATATAATAGCTTTTTAAAAAGAGTTTTAGTTAAAAACAAAACCACAATATAAAAATATGCACATTAACTAAATGGAGCAAATGTGGAAGTGTGTGAGTATAGCCTGGCAGCTGCAGGCAGCCCAAGTCCAATGGGTATCCCTGGACGAGTTTACTAGAGGGAAAACAGACATGGGTATAAATTCACCAAGAGAGTTCAGTGCAGCTAAGAGGACTGCTCCTACAGCTTAAGGTAAAAAGGTCATAAAATAACTCCATGGGATAAAATGTAGTAGCTGTCCCTAATAACTCTTAAAACTAAAACTCTTTAAAAATATAAGAAATTTCCTATTATTAAGAACATCTAACTTCAACCAACTACCCCAATCATACTACACAATGAAACACTTAAGGTATTTTTCTCTTAAAAAAACAGAAAAACATAAGGATGCCTGCTTTTTCATCACTCTTATTTAACAATGTTCTGAAGCTCTAGCCAAAGCAATAATGCATAAAAACATACATATTAATATTAGATTGAATAAGTTGTTAATTATGTTGGACTGACAAAAATTATAATTTCATACAGTTTTACTTAATACATATATATATATACACACACACACACAGACTTAGGAGAAAGACAAACAAAATGGAAAACCCTATAAAGATGTCAAATTCCAAATTTATCTAACGTTTTAATGTAATTGTAACCAAAAAGCAAATAGCAACTTTAAATTTTCTTTACAAAATGATTTGAGGATTCATAGGGAATAAAAACAAGATAGATAAGAAACTGCTTTTTGAAGAATAATCATTTAGGGAGAGGGGATGACCTGCCAAGCCAGCTAATGAAATGTATAAATAAGCTATATTACCTAAAATAAAGTTAAAACAGAAATGTACAAATGCATAGACATATACATGAGAAAAAAAAATACCCTGGGAAAAAAAAAATCAAGAAATAGATCCCAGTACATAACAGAATTTGAATGAAAGGAAATACTGTATATAATTCAATAAGTGGTGTTAAGGCAACTGACTAATGATTTGAGGACAAACAGATTCTCTACCTGATGCCAACGGACTGAAGAAATAGAGATTTGCATTTAAAGATGGAAGCACGGACATAAAATATTGGTGAATATATAATCTTTAGGGGTGTTAAGGTATCAGAAAGGCAGAAACCATTTAAAAAAAAAAAAGAGAGTTGCCTGACAGGTATAAAAATAATAGAAAATAAAAAATTCAAATGCAAATAGAAACTCAGAAAAATATTAAATCCTTAAAGTCAAAAGACTAAGTCAAAAAGAAAAATTCAAACATCAATGGGAAAACTGACAAAAGACTGATCAAACACAAATACAAATGGTCGCAAATGTATAAAAGTATTCAGTCTTAGTAGTAATTGTTTTAAAATAAATTAAAACAACGTGACAACTTTATTGGTAGACTGGTAAGAAAAGAGTAACAGCCAGTGTGGGGAAGTAAGCACATGCATACAGTATGGTTGAGATGTGAATTGATTGCCTTTGAAGAAAACTATTGGCAGTATCTATTTTTTTAAATGGGGAATAGGGGCAGGAAAAGAGTGAGGAGAGGGAAGAGAGATGAGGAAGGAACAGAGACCAAAACATGGATGACTCATGTTAGTTCTTGACTGGTTACAGTTTTTCACCATTTATTAATCTGCATTTTATAATCTGTTTTATTCTTACAATCAATTTAAACAAGAATTTCTAGGATTCCAATAAAACTGGACCTAATTCCTTGCCTGTTTTTTCCTTCCTACATCTCTCTTCAAAACAATTCTCAGTAACCTATTTTCATGCCCAGCCATAACTCAACAGAAGCCACCCAGAATAATGAGGTGGACCCCTAAATACCTAAGAACTCCCCTATATCTGAAACATAACCACTGCTGCACCCATTCTGAAAGAGACATTACCTCTTGGTAGTGCTGACCACTACTTCATTTCCCATTTGCTAATCAAGAAGCAATACTTCAGATGAGCCCATGTCACCAATCCATAGAAGCATTTCTAAAGGTGGTCCAATTTCGCCCAAAGGTTTGAAAGCACACTACCCTCTCTTGTACACTGCTCTACCTAATAACTTTTGGAATGACAAACATAAACTATCTCAAAGATCTTTATAAATACAGTTAGGTTTCACAGAGCACCTTTGTACCATGAATAATTGCCTAGAAAATCTTCTGCTCCCAGTTTAATCATGCTCTAAAAAGAAAATCCATGTAGGGCCCTTGCCATACCATGAATACAAACCACTAATTAACCTGAATCCATAAAGTTGGCTATGCTATTTCTCAAACTTCACTGCCAAGACAGTTTTTAACTAGCACATCCTTTGATCCAAATGTAATACTAGAACTATACAGAAAAAATCAGCTTTCAAGAACCAAACTGCCATATCACTTTGCAATCATTATAACTGATTTAAAAAATAGTCACAAATTGGCCAGGCACAGTGGCTCATGCCTGTAATCCCAGCACTTTGGGAGGCCAAGTCAGGTGGATCATGAGGTCAAGAGATCGAGACCATCCTGGCCGTGAAACCTCATCTACTAAAAATACAAAAATTAGCTGAGCGTGGTGGCACACACCTGTAGTCCCAGCTACTCAGGAGGCTGAGGCAGGAGAATCGCTTGAACCCGGGAGACAGAGGCTGCAGTAAGCTGAGATCGCACCACTGTACTCCAGCCTGGCAACAGAGTGAGTCTCTGTCTCAAAAAAACAAAAAAACAAAAACAAAAAAAAGTCACAAACTGTTAGAACTAACGAGGGCTTAAATGTCTTTCATTTTATAGGCAGGTAATTAACGAAATACCTTAAGTACGCAGCATTTTTTCTTGTTTCAAATATGGAGTGTTTACTAAAAACTATGTATTTACAACTATTAATGATACACTGATTAAAATCATTAGTTCAAAAATGCATGTTTTATTTACAATGACATCAAAAAGAATAAAATACTTAGGAATAAACCTAACCAAGGAAGTGAAAGATTTGTACACTGAAAACTACAAAACACTGCTGAAAAAATTAGACACAAATAAATGGAAAGACATCCCAAGTTTATGGGTTAAAATACTGTTAAGATATCAATACTACCCAATGTGATCTATAGGTTCAACACAATCACTATCAAAATCCCAAAATCCCAAGGCAAGTAGAAAAGTGCATCCTAAAATTCATACAGAATCTCAAGGGACCCCAAATAGCCAAAATAATCTTGAAAAGGAAGAAGACAGTTAGAGGTCTCACATTTCCTTATTTCAAAACATATTACAAAGCTATAGTATTCAAAATAGTCTGGTACTGGCATAAAGACAGACACACAGAGCAGTTAAACAGAATAAAGTGTCCAGAAATAAACCCTTGCATATATAGCCAATTAATTTTCATACAAGGACACAAAGACTACTCAGTGAAGAAAGGACAGCCTCTTCAACAAATGGAACTGGAGAAACTGGATATCCACATGCAAAAGAATAGAGTTATACCCTTTATCTTACACCATAAATAAAAGTTAACTCAAAATGGGTTAAAGACCGAAACATAAGACCCAAAACTATAAAATGCCTAGGAGAAAGCATAGGGAAAAAGTTCATGACATTGGATTTGGCAATGATATCTTGGATATGACACCAAAAGCAAAAGTAACTATATCAAACAAAAACTTTTGTTCAAAGAATATGATCAACAGAGTGAAAAGGCAACCTGCCAAATGGGAGAACATAGTTGCAAATCATCTGATAAGGGGTAATATCCAGAATATATAAGGAACTCCTATAACTCAACAACAACAACAAAACCTGAATATAACGTGGGCAAAGGACGTGAATAGACATTTCTCCAAAGGAGATATACAAATGCCCAAGAAGGATATGAAAAGACGCTCAATATCATTAATCATTAGAAAAATGCAAATCAATACCACAATGAGATAGCACCTCACACCACTATCAAAACAAAACAAAACAAAAACAACTGTTGGCAAGGGCATGGAGAAATTGGAATCCTTGTGCATTATTCACGGGATTCTGAGATTATGCAACCACTATGGAAATGTGGTGGTTGCTTAAGGAATTAAATATAGAACTATCACATGATCCAGAAATCTCTCTTCTGGGTAGATATGCAAAATAGTTGAAACCAGGGTCTTGAAGAGATATTTGCATACTCAACTTCACAGCATTAGTCACAAGAGCCAAGAGGTAGGAGCAAGCCTAGTGTCCACGGATGGATGAATGGATAAACAAAATGTGGTATATCCATACAATGGAATATAATTCAACCTTAAAAAGGAAGGAACTATAAATGTTGTCTTTTTTATATTTTTATGAAAAAGCAGAAAATTACTTTTGAAGAAAACAGGCTATTTAAATATTGAAATATATGTATGTTGTGAGTTTAAGGAGCCTGTAATTGTCAGTTTTACAAAATCATCCGTGTTCAATGGTTGTAAATAAATTCTCAAAACATCATTTCAAAAAACAAAACAAAAAAAAAAAAAAGGAAGGAACTGTCACATCCTACAACATGGATTAACCTTACAGATATTATGCTAAGTAAAATAAGCAGGTCACAAATCCTGCATTATTCTACTTATATGAAGTATCTAAAGTAGTCAAATTCATAAACACAGAAAGTAGAATGGTGGTTACCAGGAGCCTGGGGGTGGGGATTAAGGGTAGGGAGAGAAATAGGAAGTTGTTTAATGGGTATAGACTTCCAGCTTTACATGAAGAAGTTCTGAAGATCTGCTACACAACAACGTGAATACACTTAACACCACTGAACTGTACATATAAAAATGGTTAAGTATTTTGTTATGTGTTTTTTTCACCAAGTTTCTAGAAAATAAATAAATGAAAATAAATAAAAACGTAGGTTTCATACTCTATCATGACTGACCATCTAAAAGATCCTCTTAAACATCAAACCTCTGCCCTAAAACGGCAGAGTTGTATGCAACAAAATCAATCAGGCAAATGGCAAAGGCTTTCTAGAAACCCTCCATCTGTGGTTTTAAAAGTAATCACATGGGAATTAAAAAACAACAACAACAAAACAGATTTGGAACTACAGATGAGAACTAATGACCACCTAATTCCAAAATGCCCTAATAAGAACAAAGCACCTTTGAACTTCTTCTGGAGCCCTTGGACCTCTAATGGAAGTCTGCGAGAGATTTCTGCCTGCCGAGGCAAATGCCACTACCAGCCCTTGCATTATCTCCAGCTCCTGTTAGTCCAGGGCCAGCTTCTGAGAATATTCCACAAGTCTAGACTAACTCATCACACCAATCTGGAGCTAAGCAGTATCTACAGAAGGCAATATTGCTTAACCTTAGCAATACAACCAGGTATCTAAGTCATCAAGAACAAAGAGACAGTAGCTTCGAATACCAAATATTCATTTCCCTGTATTATCCACTCACTGGTTTCCTTTTAAGAACCTTCATGATCCAGAATGGCCTGTGATTACTTAAACTGTTAACAAGTCAACAGAAAGTGATATGAAAGCTTGTGGCTGATTGAAAAAAAAAAAAAGTACATTTTACTTGAATACTAATACATGGGTTTTGCATGAACTGTCAAGTCTGTTCTTTTTGCAGTTGGTACAATATAACAAAATCTAATTCCTGAAGTGCTCATTTGGGGTTACATAGTTTGGCTCAAGGGACAGATGTCTTAGGGCGGAATCCTGGCTCCACTATTTACCAGCCCTATCACGCTGGGTATATTACTTAACCTCTCTAAGCCTCAGTTTCATGATCTCTAGATTAGGGTTTTATGAGAATCTGAAAATCTTAAAATCAAAAAGTTATAAAAGTGATGGTTTAGATAAGTGTATACAACTCCTTTTAGTTACAAGGAAAAGCAACATGTGGGGAAGAAAAAACTGGTGTTACTCAATGTCCTACTATAGCAGACTTCCTCATGACATCTGCACCAGAACTGAATTTTACCTGTACTTCTGACTCTCAGGTTCTCAGGTATAAAAAGTCCTATGCACTTTTTTCATATGCTTTGTAAATAGTTTTGTACTGTGTTTTGCACCTACGTCACAAATACAGCTTAAAACAAAAATTTGTGCATGAAACTATAGTACACTGGCAAAAAATTTTAAAAGTCCTAATAAAGGCTGTCAAACGTTACTCTGCCATTTAATTGCCAATTGATAGAACATGTGACTATGAAATTTAAATTGTCATAGGTTGAAACACTCTTGAAAATTTATTCGAATTTATATTTACTAGATACATAAACTATAGCTTCTCATTTATAATAAATTAAATGCCTTCCAAAAACCCACTTCACAATGAAATTATATTACAATGAAAGTTTAGGCAAACTTTCAATCAAAACTGAATGCCTGCTATTTATGTACTACAGATGTTGACAAAGGTTCTGCCCTACAGAAATTCCAGCCTAGGTGAAGAATGACACCCCTGAAATCATTTAAGTAGCTAACAAGGCAGTACACAATTAGGTGTCAAAATGAATGATGAATGATTAACAAAGACCACAAATTCAGAGGGAGCATGCAGGACTGAACAGAAATGGCGAAAGGCGGTAGGAGAGAGGCTGCTGCAGTGCCCCATGGTGAAGGCAGTGGGAGAGTGATCAAAAGAGGATGTAACAGGCACTGATGCCACTTGGTGAAGGGTCAAAACTGAATCCAGTGGGGCAGGCAGAATAATCATAGCATTAATAAAAAACTGAAAACTGGAGGTGGCGCAAGATAATTCTGCCCTGGACACATGCAGTGTGCACCAGCAGCTAGACACACACAGGGAGGAAGACAACCAACAGGCAATTGGAGAGCAGCAACTGTCAGCTAGGGCACAACCAGAACCGAGAAGTACAGAGTCACCGAAACAATGCCAGATGCTGCTTACAAGAGACCGTAGGGGAAAATTCAGCTGTAGGAAAAGGGCCTCTTGGTCTGGCAAGGCCAATCAGAGCGCTTGAGTCACATATAGGCAAGAGAGAGAACACCTAAAATATCAAGCACCTAGCAAAGATTTTATTTTCCTCCAAGAGTAATTTGGCTTATTGCTACTCTGGATAGTAACAATTAGATGAGTTTACATCTACTCCCAAAGCAATCTTGTTGGCAGATGTCTATGAGGGTCCACTGTAAGAATTAGAAGGAGGAGGAAAATGGTCATTAGCAAGAGGAAAAAAGGACACACTTTTTCCAACTACAAAACTCCAATGCTCCATCAGGCAACAGCCTTTAGTAAAAGCAGGCTACAAACGTTCATTAGTGAAGCACTTATTAAATAACATTCTATTTACAAGGCCCTAAATTAAAAGGTACCCACTCTACCCCATACAAAGGGTTAACACATCTCACTCTTAAGAAAATCACTTTCAAAAACATTTTAACATTATCGAGTAATAAGTAGGTTAAAAATAGTTTGGTTAAGAAAAAGTAAATAACACTCCTAGTCAATTTGGCTACCCTTAGAAAACTATTAGATTCTTATCTGTTTTCTTGTGGTCTTTAGTCCTATGCACTTTTCTCATATGCTTTGTAAATACTTTTGTACTGTGTTTTGCACCTATGTCACAAATACAGCTTAAAACAAAAATTTGTGCATGAAACTATAGTACACTGGCAAAAAATTTTTAAAGTCCTAATAAAGGCTGTCAAACGTTACCCTGCCATTTAATTGCCAATTAATAAAACATGTGACAATGAAATTTAAATTGTCATAAATTGAAACATTCTTGAAAACTTATTCGAATTTATATTTACTAGATACATAAACTATAGCTTCTCATTTATAATAAATGCCTTCCAAAAACCCACTTCACAATGAAATTATATTACATGATATATAATGCTTTTTTAAAAAAGGTCTTATTTGCCAGTCATAATGGGCTGCTTTATAATTCAAAAGACTACTAAAAGTATACATTTAATATATACACATACACATGTATTTTCACTATATATTTTAAAAATATATTTTCACAACTCACACACATTTTTGCTATTCTCAGTATCTAGATGTTAGCCTCAAGACAAAATCTTGCCACCAATCTAGAACTAGTTATTTGTAGTGATTATAACAACTTCTATCTCTGGAAACTCTTTCAAAGTCCTTACAAACTTTACATCACAGCCAAAACCATCTCAAAGGTACCTTTCCTCTGGACTAGTGATAGCACACTCCCATAGCTCAGTTAAGTCATATAGGATGTTAAGACAAGGAATGGTCCATGCTTCTGACTCAAGAAAATCAACATCAAGTCCAAACATGAAAAACTACATTAGGTAATTTATTTCTGCAGCTTTTCTTCAGGAGACAATGAGTTTTATTGTCTTTTAAAGATTTTGCAGTGAAATTATACAGTAATGAAGGAAAAGAAATACAAACATACAAAATACCTGCAGAATCATCATTAAAACTGCAGGTAAATCTTAACTTTGAAATTTTAAACTAGTTTATGCTACTTCAATAGACACAAAATTCCTCCGGGTGTGAATGATCAAACTGAACTCAGCCATCTTCAGAAATCTGCCCAAACTTGCTGAAAAACTCAACAGTACCTTTTAGGACAAATACTGTATTTGTGCCTCATCAGATGCCAGACTCACAGTGTCACAATCACGTAAGAAAATAAATTGCTTTTCCCCTACTTACTCAGAAACAATACTGGAATATGATCAGTTTTAAAGGAGAAGCCATTTCTGGAGATACCTTCACAGAATATTTGATTAGAACCAGATCTGTTTATGATGGGTAGAGGCCTATGTTCTATATCAGCATCATCTCCATTAATATCTTGGATAACCGCACACACAAATTGTTCATACAGAAAAGCATGGGCCACAAAGGATATCTGATTCACCCAGGCCACTGGCTGATTCAACCACCCCTTTAATACATACTTAACACCCTGGCAAGTATTCTCCTCATCCAATCCTTACACACATTTATGGGTATTAGAGAGGTGCACTAACATGTATAAACTATGCAAATGAGAAATTAGCAAATATATTTTAGGCTGACAGTTCTCAAACAAAAGGTTTGTTTACTTAACTTTACCCAGAGTAAAGTTTTTATTAGCATATAAAATGGCTGTTGGAAAAATCAGCAGCAGTAGAAGGAAAATACAAACTTAATGCTTTACTAGATTCAACCATTATTTCAATTCCCTGTGCTAAGGGCGCATGAAGACAGTCATTCACTCAAAGGCTAAGCGCCAGTGTGTCTGGCACTGTGCAAGGTAAGCAAAGGAACAGAAAAACAAGGACACAATACCCACCAAGGTCTACTTGAAGTCCCACCCAAAAAATGTCCATTAAATTACTGCACTATTTTGGGTTCACTGAACACCCACTACAGGCCAAAATGCTAGGTGCCACGATCACACATAAGAAAGAACACTCAACTAACTGCAGATCTGTGGCCAATGATGTATTATGACAACCCCAGGACCGACTAGTCCTAAAGCGGCAATATTTTATTCTGGAAATAATTTTGCTTCCATCAATTAATCCTTTCTATAGACGACAATTCTTTGAATAATTTCCACCAATGTTAACTCAGACTAAGGTTGCTTAGAGAGTTAGATAAGGGAATGTAATGTGGACAAAAATAAAAGAAACAGTATACTGAAGCACATTTGCACTTTAATACTAATTTGGTTTGTATTTGCTTTCACCTTCAGCAACAATAAAAAGCAAGTGACTTTAGTCATAAAGTAGAATGTTAACTCTAAAATTACCGTGGCAAGAAATTGTTTTCTTGTACAGGCAGTTTCATGTGCAATGCTAAACTAACAAGTTTTGCGTGGTTTGTTTTTTTTTTAAACTATTCACTTAGTCAATTCTTCATGAAGGCTCTGTGACCATTCACATGTCCCTTGGCTCAAAAAGAGGTAGTGTAGATGAAATTACACTGATTTGGTCTTCAAGATTACAAAATAATTTTTGACCCTGTCCAAGTACCCGTTTTGCAGCAGTACAATACTAATGAGATTTTTAAAATAGGGGCCAGCCCTTAACTGTAAATTATAGATAAATGCTTGCAAGCTGGCAACTTCACGTTTATTTTTAAAGGCTTTCACATCAAAGATAAAGGCACCGAATCACGTATTTTAAAATAAGAAATGTAAACAGGCTTTCAACAGCTTACTAAAGAGTTAAATGGAATTGTATTTAGGTCTAATAATAAAGTTATCAATAACGCAGAGACACTAAAGGAGGAAGCTACAGGACCAAGATTTCCCCTCGAAGAAATGTCTGAACAAATTCAAAGTGAAATTTTTTAAGCTGTGTCTCGCTATTTTTACCACATTTTAAAGTAAGCTCTGTCTGCATGCAACCAACCGCAACCAAGAAAACAGAAGTGTCCTAAAATGTACCTATTCGCCGCAATAAAGCCAAAAAATATGCCCCTCCTACCTAGCGGGCCAAGTGGCAAGAACGTACGAGAAGTCAGGAAGTTTTGAAATGGCAGTGACAGGAGACGGGGGAAGGCACGGGAAGGAATCACGGAGAGCGAAGGCCACTCCGTGCGGCGGGCGCCGCGAGGTCCCGGCTCGGGACGGTACCCGACCGCCCAACTTTGCGCCGGAGCCCCGGCCGCGGCCCTTCCTCCCGGCCCAGCCCTCCCGGCCTCCGCGAGAGCGGGGTGACAGCCCCGCCGCAGGGACGCCGCCGGGGGACACCCACCTTCCTTCTCGGCCCGCGCCGCAGCCACTACGAGGGTCATCACCAGGTGCAGCGCGCCTAGGAGGCCGGCGGCCGCGCTCCGCGGGCCCCCGCTACGGGCGGCCGCAGGTTCCAGCCCGGCCCCGGCGGACGTGGAGACGGCGGCGGTGGTGGCTCCGGTTGCTCCTCCTCCCGCCCGCTTCCCCATCCCTGCCGGCCGGGGGCCGCCGCGCTCGAGGTCCGGCGCGGCCCTTCTCGGCGAGGCGGCGGCGGCGCGGAAGCCGTGGTCCGGGCTCTGGCCGCGGCGCCGGGAGCGACAACGGTTGCGAGCCCGGGGCTCGATCTCCGAGCGTGGGCCTGGGTCCGTGCGTGCGTGTGAGCGAGAGTGTCAGTCACGGTCTTTGCCTGGGCATCGCCTACAAGCAGTCGGAGCGGAGAGGCCGCGGGTCAGGCGCGGCGGGCGGCCATACTGGAAACGGGCACGGCCCGCGAGCCCTGAGCGCTGGCCTGCGAGGGGCGGGGCGCGGCTCTGGGCACCGCCCACGCTGTGCCGACACCTGGGCTGTCCGGCGGTCAGTCTGTCCGCCCCGGAGCCCCCTGGGCCCCACCTCCTCGTCCCGCTCTCGGAGGCCTGCGGCTTCACGGCCAGACAGAACCAGGACAGAACAACCCCAGCCCGTTACCGCTACCTGGCGCAGGAGAAGGAGGGAGGCAGGCCCAGGTCCAGCTGCCAGGACTTATGATGGCGGCTTCTGCTTCGCGGAGGCGGTGTCGGCAATCACGTGGAGACGGGGCGGCCTCGCCGCGCAGCCGCCGCGTTGCGTGGGCGGGGCAGGGGCGGAGTTGCGGGGCGCTAACCTCTTCTCCGGCGCCTGGGCAATCCTCCGTGCTCTGTCCTACAGTGGTAGAGCCTTCCAGGGGTGTGAGTGCGCATACAGACCGCGAGACGAGCGCGGAAGGTCCGTTCCAGTGACTCTTCCTGGTGGCACCCCCACCTCTCGACCGCTTTGACGTCGAGAATACCCCGGGCCTGACTCAGTTCTTGATGGTGCTTCCTTGAGGATGGTGGCCCGCTGAACTCATCCTTGGGTCTTCCAAATCATGGTACCCAGGAGGAGCTTGATGGAGTCCTCTTGCCTTGGCTTGTGCCCACATTGGCGCGGAACACCTCGTGTGCAGAAAGCGTCGGTGACTCTGGATGGAGAAGGCAGGGGCAAACAGACTGCTCTTTAGAATATCCAGTAGCCGGCTTCCTCTCTCGAGGAAGAATTCTTTTTTTTCTTTTCTTTATTTTTTAATTATTTATTTATTTTTGAGACAGGGTCTGGTTCTGCCGCCCAGGCTGGAGTGCAGTGGTGCGGTCTGGGACTACAGGCACCCGCCACCACGCCACGCCAATTTTTCTTTTTCTTTTAAGAAACGCTGTCTCACTATGTTGGCCGAGCAGGTCTCGAACTCCTGGGCTCAAGCAGTCCGCCTTCCTCGGCCTTCCAGAGTGCTGGGATCACAGGCGTGAGCCACTGTGCTGGGCCCGGAAAAATTCTTAAGACGTCTGTTACCTTCACGAGCCATCTCGCGCCTCTTAGATGCCCTTTTCATCTTAGGTTGAGCTTCTTGGTGCGCATGGCTGTTGTCTCCAAGACTTAATTTAAGCTCTTGGAGGGGGTCCTTCTTTACTCATCTTAGTAACTTCCTCCCAGCTTGTAGCCCAGAGACATTTTACTTTCCTTAGCTGTATTTGTTGAGTGAGTCGATATATGTGTAAGGCCAAGTCTGCCCACAGTACGTCTCAGAACAAGCTAGATAGGAAAATAAGGTTTCAGAAAGACAAAAGGAACTCCAGAATCTACTCTATGAAGTAGTCCCCTGTGTCAAGCAAGCACTTAAATTTATTCATAAATTAATATATATTTAAATATGACCTTAGCCTAATGATTTTAAAAAGCAATTTTAGGGCAGGGCGCAGTGGCTCACGCCTGTAATCCCAGCACTTTGGTAGGCCAAGGTGGGCGGATCACCTGAGGTCAGGAGTTCGAGACCAGCCTGGCCAACATGGTGAAAACCCGTCTCTACTAAAAAATATAAAAATTAGCCGGGCGTGGTAGTGCATGCCTGTAATCCCAGCTACTCCGGAGGCAGGAAAAACGCTTGAACCCGGCAGGTGGAGGTTGCAGTGAGCCAAGATAGCGCCACTGCACTATACCCTCGACAAGAGCAAAACTCCGTCTCAAAAAATTAATCATAAGCAATTTTACTTTTTTGAATATTAGCCTTAAAATTGAGTAGTCAAATTTTATTTTGATGTAATGAAATAGGAATAATTATCTCTTAAGTTGGCGTTTAAAATGTCTGAGGCAAGAGATTTCTGGAAGGCTTTTGACTCACGGAAGAGATCAAACCCAAGGATATGTAACTGAGCGCTTTTGCTTAGCCTCCAACGTGCTAGCTCTGCAAGTCAGCAGCCCTTCCCCCATGGCCAGATTCAGGACAAACAAGCCTTTCCAACCATGAAGTGCTGAGGTTCTCTTACACAGCAATCAGCCACATCCCCTGGTTAGCCTGAGGCTCAGCAGCTCCATGGGAAATAACTTGCACCTGTCTGTAATTGGATCTTTAGACGTATACAGACATGTTTGATCAGAGTTCGATTTCCCATGCAGCTAATGAAGCTTAAGCCGCAGGGCCCCCTCTCTTGCACAAGTTCCTTCCAAGTCCCTGAACCTAATTGTGTATTTATAAGCCTGTATTCTTGTTCTTAAAGGAGCCCTCCCAATAGTTGGGTAGGCTTTTAAGGCCCACCATACCTGAACCCTCCCCTGTGCCTGAGGGACACTAGGAGCAGGAGGGGTGATGATGGAACTTTCCTCCCAGGAAAGGACAATGAGGCCACTGAGAGTCTAACAGTGAAAGACGTTTTGCTAGACAGCATGGTAAACTGTGTGTTAGAGAGAACCTGGCGTGGAGCCACCATCACCCTATGATCCTCTACCCCCACTCCCCAACCCTCATGTGTCTCAGGAGAGAACCAGGAGTTAAAATTGAAGGAACCATCACACTAAGGACTCTCAAATAGTTCTGATTAGTTGTGAACTTTTCTCTTTTTCCCTTTTGGAAATTGGAGAGACCTGGCCATTTGGCAGGTGGAGGTATTAGCTGGCAGAGTCAGGGAAAACTCGCTAAACCAGTGGTTCTCAAGGTGTCATCCCCAGACCAGCTGTAGCAGCAACACCTGGGAACCTGTTAGAAGTGCAAATTAGCAGGCCAAATCCCAGACCTGTGGAATCAGGAATTCTGGGTTGAGGTCCAACAATCTGTTTAAACAAGGCATCCAAGTGATTCTGATACAGGCTCAAGATTGAAGACTGTTGCACAGTGATATATGCCAGGAGCTACAAGCTGTTGGGACTCCTCACTTTCTGTTCATTTTGCTCTCTATGCAGGTTAGTAATTTACCATTCAAGGCAGAATTATAAGAGACTCAGACAAATTTGAACTTAAATCCCATCCCTGCCTTTACTAGCTATATGATGCTGAGCAAATGACTTTTCTGGCCTCAGATTCCTAATCTGTAAAAATGGGGATTATGATATAAATTTGGGGAGATTAAGCATATAGGTTTGTGAAGCATATAGACTAGTGTCTGGGACATAGGAGACTGTCAAAAGTAGCTATTAGTGAGCACTCACTCTTTTCAAAACACCACATTAGGCACGAAGATCCTTGATCCATTGATACCTCCACTTCATTCCACAAAATACTTAAGGAGGTGTGCAAGAATGCCTTCTATGAATTAAAACTGGAACTAGGAGGGAGTAAACTGTTGGGCTTTCCAGGGTTCTATCTCCTTTGCTGCATAGGTGAATGCACCTGGTATCCTGCCGTTCAACACCATCTATACACTTTCAGGTCCCCACTTCATGTCACCAGCCAGACCTCGCTGTCTCTATTGCTGTTCCCACTCAGGTGTATAATGAGGTGTCTTAAACTCACATGAACTCCACATCTTCCCATGCAAACATGCTTCACCCACAGCCTTTCCTATCTCCAGGGCAACTCCAACCATCCAGTTGCACAGGCCAAAAACCTGGGAGTCATTCTTTACTCTCTCCACATGTACCCAAATCTAACTGCTTCTCACCACCTGCACTACTCCACTCTGGTATGAGCCCTGTCATCCGCTGCCTGGATTTCTGCAAGAGCTTCCTAACAGGTTTCCCTGTTTCCACCTGTAAAAGAAAATTTTCCACTTACAACACTTGCATAGTAGATATCAAAACGGAATGCTATGCTCTACCACAACTGGTTCTAACCAACTGAAGCAGATCAAGGACTGTGAACTTTGAGTGACCCCATACCAGACCCTTGTTAGACCTAACCAAAGACTCCTTTCTGACCAGTTAACAAAGGGACATGTTTTATCAACACTATTCCAACCTATCCAGAGCACTACTTTCCAGCCCTTAATCCGCATAACCTCCAAACTCCCTTCTCTCTTTCTCACACTTAAAAAACCCTGACTTTTCCTAATTCATGAGTTACTCAGTGAACTTTTTCACTGGTGTGTTTACATCCACCCCTGGCAGTATATAAACTCATCTTTGATTTTTTTTTTTTTTTTGAGTTTTGTTGGGCTTTGCTTTATATTTTGACATAAATTTGTACTTTTATAGTCTATTGTCAACCTGACAGCCAGCATGATCCATTTAAAACATAAGACATGTCACGTCTCTCAATGTTCACATCCTGCAGTGGCCTGCTTAATGTTTTTAAAAGCAGTTGGGGAAAGTGAAATTTTAATTTTTAGAGACTGTATATTAAAAAAAGCAATAACAGGGAATATTTGAATACCCATCTCAGGGTAAAAGCTTCCTTGATCTGGCTTGCCCCGGTCTTTCCATTCCTCCTGGATTCCTCCAGGCTCGGTCTGTTTCAGCTGAAATGACCACCATTTTGTTCCTGGAACATATCAGGAATGCTTCTACTCCAGGGTCTATCCTCTAGCCCTCCACCTGAAGTGCTTTCTCCCCACCCCCTTCTCCCTGGTTCTCTGCTGGGCTCACTGTCATACTTCCTCTCAGTCTTGGCTCAGTTATGATTTTCTTGGCGAAGCATACCCTGATCACCACTGTTAATACTGCAGCTTATTACACCTACCCTCAAGACCCAATCCTCCTTACCTTGCACTCATTTTCCCCCCATAACACTTATCACTTTCTATAATACTATATACTTTACTTACTCATTAAATGTATTGTTATTACCAATCTTTCCCCCCATTCGTTTTGCTCACTGATGAATTCCGAGCTTCTACAATATTGGCACATATTGGGCACTCAATAACACTTATTACATGAATGGATAGATGAATGGATGAATGAACAGAACTAAAAGATAAAGATCACGAAGACATAGTCCTTCTCCTCCAGGGAGCTTCAAATCTGGTAAATAAGAGACATATACAAAATATGGTAGAATAGGAAGAAATGAATCAAAGGAGGAAAGAGGAGGAGTATTAAATGAAGGCAACTCTGGGTTCTACTCATTTCTTTATTTACCCAGCCTTTTCAAGTTCTTTAACTGATTTTTCTTTATTTTCAGTTCTCTGTCTCTTTCATCTAGTCTGAAGCCCACAGCAGTCAAGCGAGTAAGAAGGAATATGGCATCTTGTCTGTCTTATTCAGGATGAAGAGTAACCTGCTTATTTTGTCTCCTGTGTCCCTTATTCCTTGGGAGGTTTCCCTGGGTGTTATTCTTAAAAAAAGTCAGCTCACGAAGCCTAAGGTTTAAGTCTGTTCAACTTAGTAGTAAATTATGGTAACCTAGGGTAGGGCAAATAGACCTCAGTCAAGTTCATGCAGCAGGATGAGGGTAGTAGCTTCTGAGCATGTGGGCCGAGCTCTGTATCAGTGTGGATCCCATATTTGAAGATCCTTATTCATATATTCCTCAGGAAAACTAGATTCCTTTGCAATTTCTAAATCTACATGAACTAAGATCTCATCAATGACCACTACCACAACACATACATACCTTTACTAATAAACATACTGGATTTAGATGTGAGAATTAATGATGGGTTTGTTCAATATTTTCCTTCCAAGCTGACTGACACAGTTTATAAGCTTATATTTATTTTTCTGGCATTCTTTAGAAATGTTTTTTGGGACAAACAGCCAAGTTTAACATGAATCAAAATCTTGGCCTGCCCTTTCAACTCCTCCACAATAGGCTCCAGCGCCACTCTGATTTTTTCTCTCCTGCAACATTTAATTATTAATCTTGTGACTTTTGAAAAATGTCATGTGGTTTGGTAGTCTTTCAATTAAAAGGAGGGAAATAATACCCTAGTATTTTTCTTGTTCCTTCCACCTCCCCTTACCATTGTCCTCTCTAGTACTGATGAGTACTTTAAAGTTGATTTTTAGGCTGCCCTGAGTTTCTGAATGTTCCTAAACACCATTATTAAAGAAGCCTGCCTCACCCGTCATTCAACTGTACTTAATATTGCATTGCTTGGTGGAAACTAACAGCCATGGAAAGCCATTCAGGGGAAAAAAAGGCCATTGAACAATGTATTGAGGGATGTTTGTGTTTCTCCCTCTCCCTATTATTTAATTGCTTGTAACTGTAAAATTCCCAGCAATAGTAAGTAAAGGCAAAGATCAACATATTCAAGATGCAGATAAATACCAGAAACAATGAAAAAATTAAAACAGTAAAATAATGACAATTGCAGAGACAAATATAAGGTAGGAGAGACACAATTCTCTCTGCCAAGTCTGGTGTGAGTTCCCTAAATGAAGAATCGAGAATTGGCCATTTTGCATGGCCTCTGCAGGGTGGTCTGAGGGCAGGCATCACAGCTAGCGCACACACGTACCTGTGCAGTGTTTTCCAGAAGGTAAATTCTACTTCCTTTAAATGTTATTACTTTAATTTCTGGTACTTTAACAAGTTAAATTTAGTATTTTAAATCTGATAGGCTGGGTGCAGTGGCTCACGCCTATAATCCCAACACTTTGGGAGGCCGAGGCGGGTGGATCACCTGAGGTCAGGAGTTCAAGACCAGCCTGACCAACATAGTGAAATCTCGTCTCTACTAAAAAAAAATTACAAAATTAGCCGGGCGTGGTGGTGCATGCCTGTAATCCCAGCTACTTGAGAGGCTGAGGCAGGAGAATCGCTTGAACCCAGGAGACAAAGGTTGCAGTGAGCTGAGATTGTGCCACTGCACTCCAGCCTGGGTGACAAGAGCAAAACTCCATCTCAAAAAAATAAAAATAAAACAAACAAATAAATAAAATAAATCTGATATTTTAAAACCACACACCATGGCTGGTCAGAAGTCTTTATGACCATGAATTAACAAGTGTTTGAATTATTCTTAAAAATGTTAGCAAAGAAATAGTCTGTGCAAAATCTCAAGGGGAATAATTTTGTTTCACCTTTAGTCTACATTACGGTGAGCATCTGTATTCAGTCCTAAAGTTTTTAAAACTAATTTTTTAAATTAACAAACAATAATTGTATATATTTATTGTATACATGATGTTTTGAAATATGTATATGTTGTGGAATGGCTAAATTGAGCTAATTAACATATGCATTACCTCTAATACATTCTTATTTGTGGTGAGAACACTGAAAATCTACTCTCTTTGCAATTTTCAATAATACAATACATTAACAATGGTTACCATGCACTGTCATAAAAGTTTGATGCTTCGAAGCCCTTTCATAGTTTATGCAGGCAAGGAAATATTAATAGCAGAGTCTTTGATCTCCATAAAATATGTGTTCTATCACACTGGAAAATATGATTGCCAGTAAGAGAACTGCTCTTTTTGGTGGAGTAAATATGATTTTCATTTTGACAATGTAATTTTGCTTCTTGTGAATCATCTTACACCAAAATAGCCATAGGATTTTAGAACAAGAAATGGATCTTAAATATTTATTTGAGTCTGGCTTTGGAAGTATCTCCTCCACTTCCAGCTATGGTTTGACAAATTACTCAGCCTGTCTAAACTTCAGTTTCCACAGTTTCACGTTTTTAAAAAAGGGTAAAAATAACTACTGAAGATTAGTTGTAAGAATTGAATAAACTAAAGTACCATGGAATTACCTAGCAAATGGCAGATATTCAACAATGTCACTGTTATAATAATAATCATTATTATAAAAAAGAAAACTGAGGCCCAGAAATGAAGAAACCTATCCAAGACCATGGCAGGGCAGAGACATGACTTCCAGGCCAGGGTCTCGTCTTTTGTTTCGTCTTCGGGTCCATTTAATTAAAGTTGTATATATCTTTGGTGTTTTATATGGCAGGCCACTCTTATAATTATTGTTTTAATCTCATAATAATGTCGAAGACTACAGAATTAAAATTCTACTCCTCTAGTAAAATGATAGCATGGATCAATATAGTAATATCATAAGAGGTGAATGAAATGATTCCTCAAGAGGACTGACATTAAAAGGTTATTAGCCTTAGCTTGAACTTCCCTGAAATCACAAGCTTAAGCCTAGCCACTTTCTATAAGTCAGGGTAGGCCAAGTTATGCTGTGATGATAAAGAACCCCCAAATCTCAATAGCTTAAAACAGCAATTTGTTTTTTTCTCTCCCACAACATGTTGATCCAGGATCCTGGCTAGTGGAGTAATTTGGGTCACTTGTAGCAGAAAGAAAAGAGGGTTATGGAGGGTCTCCTAATGTCGATTTAAATTTTCTGGTAAGAACTGACGTTTCATCACTTCCACTCACACTCATTGGCCAGAACAAGTCATATGACCACACAAACTTCAAGGTACCAGGGAAGTTCAATCCTCCCATTGGCTGGAGATAAATAAGTGGGCCCATCAGTGAACAGCCCTAGTGACTACCATAGGCTTTGACATATTTTCTTTTCTTCTTAGACAAATAAAAAACAGCAGCCTGAGAAAGGATGATGGAAACTATTTTCATTTTCTCATGAATTATCAAGTTCTAAAGAGCAGATTTAATTTTTTGTCATTTATACATTTTTGTTTGTTGGCTTTATACATTTTTGTTGTAGTCACCAGTGAAATATGAATGTTTTTAAAAGCAGTTGGGGAAATTGAAATTTTAATTTTTAGTCTATGTATTAAGAAAAGCAGTAACAGGGAATATTTGAATACTGATTTTTTTCCTTCCTTCCTTCCTTCCTCCCTCCCTCTGATCTTCCCTCCCTCCCTCCTTTCCCTCCCTCCCTCCTCCTCCTCCTCTCCCTTCCTTTTTTCCTTCCTACCTCCCCTTCCTTCCTTCCTTTCTTCCTTCCTTCCCTCCCTTCCTTTCCTTCCTTCCCTTCCTTCCCTCCCTTCCTTTCCTTCCTTTCCTTCCTTCCTTTCGTAGAGTCTTGCTCTGTCACTCAGGCTGGAGTGCAGTGGCATGATCTTGGTTCACTGTAGCCTTGAGCTCCTGGACTCAAGCAATCCTTCCACTTCCGCATCTTGAGTAGCTGGGACTACAGACATGCACCACCAAGCCCAGCTAAATTTGTGTGTTGGGTGGGGGATGGGTCGTAGGGGTATTGGGAGGGGTGCGTCTCGCTTTCTTGCCCAGATGGGTCTCAAACTCCTGACCTCAAGTGATTCTCCTGTCTCAGTCTCCCAAAGTGCTGGGAATACAGGCGTGAGCCACAAAGCACAGCCTCTACTATACTTCTGATGAGAATTTATTAATCATCTTAGACGTAATAATGGCTATTTTGGATTTTGTAGAGGTTTTTAAAGATTTTTTAAATTCGTTTTATCTTTCAGAAATATATACTGAAGTATGAATCAAATGATATAATGATATTTATTTCTAAATAATCTGCAGGGTGGGTGGGGACAGTGGGCGGGGCTATAGAAGAAAGAGGATCAGCCATGAGTTGGTGATTATTGAAGCTGGGTAATCAACGCGTGGAAGTTCATTATGTTAGTCTGTCTAGTCCCTCTACTTTAGGTACGCTTGGAACTTTCCATAATAAAAAGTTCAAAAAGACAAAAGAAGCAATGATAGGCCTACAGCTACTTCAGATCTAGATGAAGCTCCACTAGAGATGGCTAGCAAGGATCTTAGCCCGTTGCTGGTGCAGGTGGGGCCTGCCTGAGGGTGCATCAGGCCCTAGGAAATATTTCCTCCACAGAATTTTCACTGTTGCCAAACGTCTGAATCAACCAATCTTAGCCTGCAGTGGCAGCCAATGGTGCCCATGCTTTGCAGCATCTACTGGGACCTCAGGACCACCTGCTCTTGTCCTCTAAAGAGGCAGTACCCAGGAGCCTCCTGAGGCCATGATTGCTTGCACAGGTTAGCACAGAAGGCTTGAGTCCAGCTCTGAGCTAATTTCCTCTTCTCTGGTTAGTCTGAGACCCTGGTAGGACACTAAAGTTCGTTTGTTCACTAACATGATACGCACAGACTTTTGATGTCTCTGAGGCAGGCAGAAGCATGTGAGGCATTAGCCTGAGCCAAACACAGGCCTAGGATATGACCTGAGAGCTGCTGCAGATGCACCTCCCTGCCTCCTGAGGCCCCTGCTTTCATCACAGCTCCTTTCCCTTGAGCAGCCTGCTCTCAGCTCTAGCTGCTGCCAATCCCTTCCCATCAGAGATGCAGGCTGTAAGCATCACCAGGGTGAAGTCTGGTGCATCACCCGTTTGTTCTCCCTCTGAGAGCGCAGCTCCCCTGCCCACAGCGGTGGACCTCTGGCACACAGGCTTGTTCTTCATGGTCTTGCCTTCCCTGCCATAGTTAATTGGCCATGGACTCCTTTCCCACATTGGCCCAACCAGATTCTCTTGAACGTTTTCTCCAAGAAATATGGATGTTGAAGATGAGTCTGAATTATGTAAAATGTGAAGCTTACATGACTGTCTATGAACTTTTGCTACAGAGGTACCCTTAGCCCCACCCTGCCAAGAACTGGTTGCTCAGCATTTCCATGGATGCCATTGAAACTGGACTTTATGTATACAAAGTTACATACATATATAGTTTCGTAGTTACATATATGTATAAATAGATATATAGTTACATATGTATGAAACTATATATGTAGTTCCAATGACATATATATACACGTATATATATACGTATACATGTACACGTATACATATATATGTATATATACGTATACAAGTATACGTATATGTGTACGTATGTATACGTATATGTGTACGTATATATACATATATACATATATATATCTCATATATATATATTTCATATATGAGATTGAGGTTGCTTTCTTTGCCAAGTGACTAGAAGGGTGTGGTGGGAAACCTCTAAGACAGCGCCGATTATCTCTACATTCTTCTGTAAACACCCCCACCCCTTGTGTGGGCCAAAGCTAATAACGTTTCTGTTGAATTAAACATGGCTAAAGTGGTGTGTTTTTACTTCAAGTTTAGTTTTAAAAAAAATCTCTGTGTCAGCCTGATGTGGTGGCTCATGCCTGTAATCCCAGCACTTTGGGAAGCCGAGGCAGGTGGATCACCTGAGGTCAGGAGTTGGAGACAAGCCTGGCCAACATGGCGAAACCTCATCTCTACTAAAAATACAAAAATTAGCCTGGCGTGGTGGCGGGTGCTTGTAATCCCAGCTACTTGGGAGGCTGAGGCAGGAGAATTGCTCGAACCCAGGAGGCGAAGGTTGAAGTAAGCCGAGATTTCACCACTGAACTCCAGCTTGGGCGACAAGAGCAAAACTCCATCACTGAGCCCCTGTTACATGCCAGGAGATGCAATAGCACAGGAGATACAGTGCTGAGCAAAACAGCACAGTCGCTGGCCCTGCAGACTCCACCACTATTCAGCAGGACACTTCCTTGGAAGGTGAGAAAAACGAACTCAGACCAGATTGGCCAGAAAGGTAGACATTATCATGAGGAAAAGGAAGTGTGCCGTGGAGACCTGAGAAGGGGGCTGTGGCTGGGTCCCAGAAAAGGATAACACTTGGAAGAGGAAAGTCTCTGAGGACACTTTTTATCTATGTGCCTCTCATCAGCTTCAGTCCTGTCCCTGAAGATGGGTGTTCCTGTTACTCCATCCCCATGGCATAAAACATGTCAGCTGCAGTCTGCACAGAACGGACAGAACCAGAATTTCAGACTCATTTTCAGTTGCAGGAAGTAGAGGCCGGGCCCACCAACTGTGTTTGGGAGGGGGTGGGGCCAAGGGTGCAGTATTCCAGTGCACCCACAGTCCTGGGTGCTCTTCTATTCCTGTAGGTAACAAGGGCAGTGAGAGGATCACTGTGAGCTTGGCTGATTCCCCCACATGTTATACCCACCAGGCCTAAGTCTCACGCGTAGGAATCTGAAAGTCTTTGCACTGACTGCTGGAGGCTATAAAATCACCAACAGTAACCCATTTTGGGGTTCATCAGAAATTAATGGGAATGCTTATTCCCCCTACCCCTTTTATGTTTTGTGTTTTTGGACAGGGTTTGCTCTGTTGCACAGGTTGGACTGCAGTGGCGCCATCATGGCTCACTGCAGCCTCGACCTCCCAGGCTCACTGCTTCTCCCAACTCAGCCTCCCAAGTAGCTGGTACTACAGGTACACACCACCACACCCAGCTAATTTTTATTTATTTTAACAGAGCCGGCGAGGGAGGGGGGGGTCTCACTATGTTGCCCAGGCTGGTCTTGAACTCCTGAACTCAAGTGATCCTCCCACCTTGGCCTCCCAAAGTGCTGGGATTACAGGTACTTAGTAGGAAAGTCTGGAATCAAATACAAATACTAAAAAGCAGGAGAGGGAAATGAACTACATGTCAAATCTTTGCTCAAGTCATCCTCTCTTGAGCTCTGCTCTGGCACCATACCCATCAAAGCTCTTGTCATTATCACCTAGCACCCAGGTCTTGGGATGCAGACCATGCAGCTGCCTGAGGCCCAAGAGCAGAAAATGTTTCTCTTTGATAAATTCTCAAATTTACAATGAAAATATTATTTAATTTTTTTCTCAAGCAATCTCTTCCTATTATAGGAAGGGAGAAGGGGCAGGCAGAGTAAGTGAAGGAGAGCCAGGTTTTCCAGAGCTGCTGGTGCAGCCCCCCAGGCCTGTGCCCTGTGACTGTCCCTAAGCTGCCTTGCTTGGGGCCAAGAGGATCTTGGCTCCCCAGCTCTTCCCAGGAGTTCATGGGTCGAGCTGGTCCTTTCCCTGCTCTCGGGTTCACCAGGGCTCCCAGGCCTCTCTGGGGGAATTAATTTCCCCTCCTTCTCAGGCCCAGGTTTGCATTCCCGGATCACAGTCTTGCCAGACTGTTCTGCCTCCTTGCCTGTGGTCTCTGCAGAGCCAGGTCACCATCCTGTGCTATCTCAAATTTGCTTTGTAAATGATTGTTTAAAAATACATTTTCCCACAATTAAGCATAGCAGTTTGCGCAGATTGTTGCTGTACATGCGATATAGTATCTTCCAGAGCCTAAAATGTAAAATTTCAGAAAAATCTAAACAACTAAAGGTGAACAAAAGGGATGTTACTTTTACTATGGATTTGGGGGACACTTGCAGAAGGTATGCTGAGCAAAGGCACTCCTTTCTCCCTACAGCCTTCCACAAATGCAGTAGAAACACGTGAGTGTTACATGGACAGTTCAGTCCATGGTGCTGGACATTGAGGATTATTTTTTCTAATTTTTTTATTTTTTGAGACAGAGTCTTGCTTATTATTTTATTTTTTGAGACAGAGTCTTGTCGCCCAGGCTGGAGTGCAGTGGCACAATCTAGCCTCACTGCAACCTCTGCCTCCCAGCTCAAGTGATTCTCCTGCCTCAGCCTCCCCAGGAGCTGAGATTACAGGCAGGCGCCACCATACCTGGCTAATTTTTGTATTCTTAATAGAGACGGGGTTGCACCATGTTGGCATGTGCCACCATACCTGGCTAATTTTTGTATTCTTAATAGAGACGGGGTTGCCCACCTCGGCCTCCCAAAGTGCTGGAATTACAGGCGTGAATCACCACACCTGGCCAAGGATTATTTTAAAGCTTTTGCTTCCTGATTACTTTTCTATCTATAGAAGTTTGTATTTTAATGGGGATGTGTGAAAGAAATGCAGATATTTTAGAAGCTGTTTTCTCCCCTTATGTTGAATTGGGATGTTTTATGTGGGCTATATTATGAGAAAGTAAGGATTTAGATAAAATACTCAATACATGCATTTGAAAGCTATTTTAAATTAGATTTATTTTCCTTGTCCATTAAAAAGGTAAAGAGAACATTGCAGAATAATAGAAATTGTTTAATTAAAAAATCTCTTGATTCATAAAAGTTTCACAGCTACTGGCCCTACATCATGGTTAAGGCTTAGGCTCAAGCCTACAACTGCCTGAGTTGCTTTTTGTTTGGTTGGTTTTTAACTTTTTATTTTGAAGTAATTATAGATTCATGCACAGTTGTAAGAAATAAAAACAGAAATCCTGTGAACCCTTCATTCAGTTTCACCCACGGGTAATATCTTGCATACTACTGAACACTACTGAAACCGGGAAATTGACATTGGAACAATCCACAGAGCTTTTTCAGATTCCACCAGCTTTAATACATCCTGTGTGTGTGTGTGTGTGTGTGTGTGTGTATTTAATCCTGTGCAACTGTATCACACATAGATTTCGGTATCACACCACCACCACAATCAAGACCCAGACCTGTTCTATCACCACAGGACTTCTCATCCTACCCTGCTATGGCTTCAGCCACCTCCCTCCCTACCCCTCTGACCTGGAACCCGTTCTCCATTTTGATAATTTCGTAATTTCAAGAATGTTACACAAGAATGTTATGGAATTAGACAGTATGTGACCTCTTAAGATTGGCTTTTTTTTCTCCCTCAGCATAATTCCCCTAAGATTTGCCTGAGGTTTAATACTGACTTCCTGCCTCACTGGCTGTGTGCTTTTGGGCAAGTTATTTAACATCCCTGTCTCAGTTCCATTCAGACACAGGCCCGCCTGACCATGAAGTCTCATTGTCTACCCTCCACACACCTTCTGCTTCTCACTTGCAGTTGAGAGGAGGCCTTCCATAAGCCGTATTGTGTGTCTCTGTGGAATCTTGGAACATGATTGCGACCTTGAACTTCTATTTTTGTTTAGAGATGAGGTCTTGCTCTGTTGCTTGGCCTGGAGTGCAGTGGCACAATCAAAGCTTATTGCAGCCTCGCACTCCTGGGCTCAAGGATCCTCCCACCTCAGCCTTCTGAGTAGCTGGGATTACACGTGCATGCCACCATGCCCTGATAATTTTAAAATTTTTTTGTAGAGATGGGGTCTTGCAATGTTGCCCATGCTGGTCTGGAGCTCCTGGCCTCAAGTGATCCTCCTGCCTTGGCCTCCCAAAGTGTTGGGATGACAGGAGTGAGCCTCTGTGCCTGGGGGAGCATGCATTTCTAAACCTTTCCTCGACATTTTCGGATCAATGCAGTATAAGGAAAAACATGATTGGGAAATACTCTGGATAGTTTTAGGTATTTAGATTTTGTCAGTCTACTCTTTTGATAAGTAATTCAATATATGTTTACAGGAACATTGTTTTGAATGGGAGCCCATTTCTAGTGCTACCAGTTTTTATTTTTGGTCAGCTTCCCTTTCATCAGTGGGGATGCATACCCAGCTGGCAATTACGCCTCTTTTAGAGGTCATTTGATCCAGCCTTACACTGTGACAAGGCTCTGGGTGTACTGCTGAGGGAATAGTTCCCCTACTGTGCCAGTTGGCTGATTATCTGTGGTTATCCTGTGTATAAAGCATTTTTATAAGTTCACAGACCTCTCTGCTCAAATGTCAGGTCAACATAGAGGCCTCCCTGACCACCTCTAAAATAGCATCTGCCTCCTGTCTCTCTTCATTCCTTTTCCCTACTATATTTATCTTCAGAGCACTTGTCACCACTTGACACATTATATATTTATTTGTTTACTGTCTGTCGCTCACCTTCAAAATGTAGTCTTCAGGAGAAAAGGAACTTGTCCTGTTCTCTGCTTTTCTTTCTCTTCTTTCTTTCTTTTTCTTTCTTTCTTTCCTCCTTCCTTCCTTTCTCTTTCTTTTTCTTCTTCCTTCCTTCCTTCCTTCCTTTCTTTCTCTCTCTCTCCTTCCTTCCTTCCTTCTTTCCGTTTCTTTTTTTTTTTTTTGAGACACAGTTTCACTCTTATTGCCCAGGCTGGAGTGCAGTGGCATGATCTTGGCTCACTGCAAGCTCTGCCTCCTGGGTTCAAGCGATTTTCCTGCCTCAGCTTCCTGAGTAGCTGGGATTACAGGCACCCACCACCACACCTGGCTAATTTTTGTACTTTTAGTAGAGACAAGATTTCACCATGTTCCCCAGGCTGGTCTTAAACTCCTGACCTCAGGTGATATGCCTGCCTTGGCCTCCCAAAGTGCTGGGATTACAGGCATGAGCCACCATGCGCAGCCTCCTGCTATTATGTGTGTTGCCTGACGTGTTGCCTGACATGTGCCTGACATTTGTGTTGTCTCTGACATGTGGTGTTTATAGAACGAATGAATGAAATGAGGGAGTGAATGAATAAATTCTCCCACTGCTAATGGAGGGAGGAAGGAGCAATCTATACTTGAAGAAGTAGAAGGAGCAGGAAGGCCAGGCGCGGTGGCTCACGCCTGTAATCCCAGCACTTTGGGAAGCCGAGGTGGGAGGATCACCTAAGGTCGGGAGTTCAAGACCAGCCTGACCAACATGGAGAAACCCCGTCTCTACTAAAAATACAAAATTAGCTGGGGTGGTGGCGCACACCTGTAATCCCATCTACTCAGGAGGCTGAGGCAGGAGAATTGCTTGAACCTGGGAGGCGGAGTTTGCGGTGAGCTGAGATCACGCCACTGCACTCCAGCCTGGGCAACAAGAGCAAAACTCCATCTCAAAAAAAAAAAAAAAAAAAAAAAAAAAAAGAAGGAGCCGGAAGGTACTCAGGGTATGCCAAGATCTCCATTTGAGCCAAAGAGCAGAGTTAAACAAAGCTAACGACCACAGCGACTCTGTGGCGGGGATATATATGTACCAGTCCACAAATGTGCAAGGAAAAACAACTTCATTTTTCTATAAGTCAACTCAGTTTCTATTCTGAGGCTTGACTTTGACAGGATGAGGCACTTAATAGCTTTAGAGTTGTAGTCCTGCCCCACCTTTGCCCAGAGGTGAGGGGTCGGAGTTGAGGTGCGCCCTACCTGTGCTGGGGTGTAGTGTCTAGTTCATCCTCAGATGCTGAGACAGTGCTCCTGCCTCTCCACACAGGCCAGAGAGACCAGCACTCAGTGGCACCCTGAGCCTCGCCCACCAGGATTTTCCTTTCATCAGTTTTTCCTTGCTCACCCACTGGGTGCTATGACAAGAAGGTGCTTTCTCTACAGCTATCTTCTGCTTTTTAGCCATGGCTTCAGTTTCTGTTCTCAATTCCAGGGTAAGTTTCAGTTCTTTATTTTCATCCCTGATGTAAGACCTGATTCTGAGGTCTAATGATTTGGTAATGAAATGAGGTAGTTTTGCTTGGAGACTCCTACACTGCCCTTTTTTCATCATGAATGTTTTAGAACATTTCCTAACTAAGGCATTTCTTATTAGTATTCCTCCTAAACCAAGTACTTTGTTTCACTTAAATGATGAGTATATATATATTAGAGCCATATTGGTTAATACAGCGTTGGTACTTGGATTTCTTTCATTATAAATTAATTATTTATCTAAATAATTGAAAAAATCCAATTTAAATGGAATCATAGTACTAAAATTTTGTGAGGGAATTTTTAGCACTATTATTAGACACTGTTTTACTTTGTCTGCAAACTGGGGGTTTTAATATAAAATGTTAGGAATTAAAGTAATCGAGGTCAGTAGCCAGCAGTGTATGTCAGTATCATCTGTGGGGGCTTCTTAAAATACAAAAGCCTGGGTCCTATCTGCAAAGGCCCTGATTTGGAGAGTTTCCTGGAGGTCTGAACCCTGTATCCCACGGACCACAAGCCAAAAGTCCAGTCCAGCCCCCTCATTCTTTTTACCGATGAAGAAACTGAAGGTCCCAAAACCACAGGAATTTGTGTAGCCTCCCACATGCGAAAGAAGTGGTTTCAACAAGTACATCCCAGCAGACTCTGACTCCAAAGCCGGGGTAAAGCTTTCTGGGTGACGATGTTTAAAACAGAACGCGATGTTTGTCATGTCTTTGTAATTCTGCAAGTGAAAATGATGAAGATATTCTTTTTACTGGAATCAACCCTCGGGTGGTCAGGTTAGCAGTTCCCAAAGGTCATATTTACATTTTAGCCGAGCCAGTTGTCTAAAGAGAAAGTGTCTTTCTTCCCTGCCTGTGGTGAAGCTTAAGTTTACAACAGGACTGGGGGCATGCAGTGGACACAACCATGATTACGAGAGGGTGGAGAACGCAGGGGACCAGCAACCCCATCACGGCTCAGGGACCCTCACGGGACTTGATGCTCAGAGAGGCAGTTGACACGTATTGCAGGCACACTGGCTGAGTTCCTTCAGGACATGGACAGAGGAGGAGGCCCCGTGACACAGACTCATCTATATCATTGATGTCACTCTCCAGAGAGTTTAAACATGGGCCCGCCTGGGCGTCAGTGTATTCTCACCTGCAGCTAGGATTGAGAACTTTTGCTTTGGGAGACTTTCATTATCCTTTTATGTACATTACTAAAAAGTAGGAGATGGATTGCAGATAATTTAAGATGCCCAACACCACTGCCCTACATGCACGCACATGCATGCCCACCCATGTTAAAGAATGAAAGCCCAAGCCCACGTTATCAACATATCTTAACAACGAGGCCTTGCAGAGTGGTTTGGATGAAGTTGCCACCTTCTTCTTGGTCTAAATGTCTCACTCAAGTAGCCTAACCTTCACTTGGAGAGTAACTGGCTACTTCTCAGTTCTTGCTGCATTCTCTGGCTGGAAGTTGAAGACCACCAGCCACCAGCCCACCAGTCCACCAGCCCACCAGCCTACCAGCCACTAGCCCACCACCCACCAGCCCACCAGCCCCTAGCCCACCAGCCACCAGCCACCAGCCACCAGCCCACCAGCCCACCGGCCCACTAGCCACTAGCTCAGCAGGCCACCAACCACCGGCCCACCAGCCCACCAGTCACTAGCCCACCAGCCACCAGCCACCAGCCCACCATCCCACCAACCCACCAGCCACCAGCCCACCATCCCACCAACCCACCAGTCACCAGCCCACCAGCCCACCAGCCCACCAACCCACCAGCCACCAGCCACCAGCCCACCAGCCCAGCAGAAAAGACAGGATATAGCTTCTCAGTAACTTACATTAGTTCCCTTTCTTAAGAAAATCTTAATATTTGGTCTTTGTATTTGACACTCCTCAGCATCACTACAGTGCGACTGCAGGTGGATTTATTTTCATGTATTCTGCTCATAATTCGTGTGCCTTTTCAGTTTGAGCACTCACCCTTCTTCAATTCTGGTGAATTCTCCTCCATTATCTCTTCAATATGTTGCCTCTCCCTCACTCTCCCTATTCTCTGCTTCAAATCCCTATTTAGATTTATATTGAATTTGTCATTCTACTCTTCACATTACGTTGATTTCACTTTCATAATTTCTGCTCTTTCTCTGTGTTTTGGTCTGATTTCCTTAGAATCATCTTCCAAACTACAAGTCCTCTATCTAGTCATCTAGTTTAACTTGCCTAGGGAGTGTTTTAACCTTAATGGCTATTTTATTTCTATTTGCTTCCTTATTTTCCCCAATATCCTCTCCCTGCCCTGTGGATTCTGTCCTTTCCTTTGTTTCTCTGAGCATCTTAAGCCTCTCAGACTGTTTAATCATCATTAGGTTTTGCAGTGTGGGTCCCACCATTGGCTGTGTCTGCTGAGTCTCTCTTCCTTACGATCTCATGTAGACATGAATAGTCACCTTACACTTCTTCAGTAACATAATTCCAGTTTTTCAAGATAATATTCACTGTCTTCCTACACTGAATGCTCAGTTTACAGACTATTCTTCCCACTGATTTCCAGACCTCACATTTCGTGTGAGATAGCTCATAGTGTTTTAAAGCCCTGATTGGAGGAGAGTACTGTGGGCTGGCTCTTCTATAATTAAGATTGGGATGGGAGAAAGGAAGAAGAAAGCATGTTTCGAAATAAATTTATCAACAAGGTTTAGCAGATGGCAATTTGATTTTTTTTGAAAAAACAATAACAACAGCTTGCTAGGATGTTGTAGCTACATCACTATGAATGCTAGATTTTAAGGTTAAAAAAAAAACCCTAAAAATCTTTATTAAAGGACATCACATGATTATATTTTCTTAATGGAAAATTCTTATGTTTCTGGCTGTTCCCCATCAGAGGTCGTTTCTAGACTACTAGACATTGGTGCTTCCCTTTTTTTGTGTATTCTTGGTGTTGCTATGACAGTCCATCAGTGTGCAGGGATGAAACACAATGTCACACCAGTTGAGAAGACACAAAACCCTTGCCTTTGTCCTGGAAACTGAGCTTCTATTCATGCAGCCCAAGATCATCAAACCATTTTAGATAACATCACACCTCTGAGTATAAGGTTTAGTTATCTAAAACCTTGAAGATCTCACATAGAACCTGCTGCCTGGACTCTGGAGGCAGCTGGTTGTGGGACTGCTGCTATCTCATCATTGCGACCTCAAGGGACATGTATAGAGACGGCGTGATGTGCTGTTGCACTCTCAGTATCCTGCCATGGCCCTTGCCTGGGTCTTGAATTTAGGAGCCAGTCACAGAAGGAAATGGAATGAGCTTAGGCCTCTGCCCAGAAGGACTGTCATCTTTCTGAGGGAGGAACTCTGGCCTATGTGAAACAATGGGGGTACATGGCCAAATGCTCATCACGTGGGCCAGATGAATGCTACAGGAGGGAAGGGAGAGGCCAAGGGTTGGTGAAGCTTCACAGGCAGACTCAGCTTGAATCTGGCCTTGAGGGATGAGTTGGGCCTGTGCATACAGCCCTGGAGGTACATGTGAGGATGGGTGCATGCTGGCAGCTCAGGCTGCCCCTGGGTATGAATGGGTGGACAAGTGTTGGTCATGGGTGATAGTGACAGGCAGGAGGTCAGGGGTAAGGAAGCTAGAGGGGAGCCTGCTGATAACTGACTGAACATAGGAGGGGAGGTGGTGGCAGGCAGGTGACAAGCAGGAAAAGGTAATAACATAAACAGCCACTGCTCACTGAGTGCTTTCTATGTGTCGGGCTTGGTAGCTCTGTTACATGAATTATCTCATTTAATCCCCACACATCCCATCAGGTAGAGGAGGCTACTATCCTCATCTTCCAGATGGGGAATCTGAGGCTAAAGGGAGTTAAATGAGTTGCTCCAGGTTATACAGATAGCAAGTGATAAAGTGTAGATATGAACCCTGGCCATCAGGCCCCAGAGTTTGTGCTCCTAGTCATCATGAAATACTGTGCCTCAGAGGATTGCAGTGACTTGTCTTAATGCTGCTAAATATTGCAGGGTGGATCATCTTGGTCATGATCCTTGATTTCCACTGGCTGTCATCTTTGGAAGTAAGAATTGCTCACTCAACGGTTATGATGCTGCCAATGCCTGGCCTTATATTGTGCGTTGAGGACATCTAGATGAATCAGATTGGTCACTGCTCTTGAGGAGGTGACAGTCCCCACAAGGAGGTCACAAGAAGAGCCATGTAAACATATAATTATATTGCAGCATGGCAAATGATGACTCAGTGGATGTTTCTACAAAGTGCTCGGGAATCTCAGGAGAAGGAGTGGCCAATTCTATGAGAGGGAGGTGGGGAAGGCTTCAGGAAGATGAAGATGGTTAGGATAAGTTTTGAAGGATGAATAGTTAATCAGATAAATGTGGGAGCGTAAAGGGTTTCAAAGCAGAGGAAGTAGGGTTCAGAGGTGTGGCAATATGGGAGAGCATGGCAGGTCAGAGAATGGGCACAGCTGGAAGATATCCAAGCATAAAGTCCAAGTCTCAATTATGTTCTGCAGATTACTGTCTCTGGGAGAGTTGAGTTCTGCAGTCAAATGTGTGCTAGGATTATAGGTGTGAGACACCGCACCCGGCGTCTCCTATCTGATTTAAAAGACAATTGCAATAAAGCAATAATTGTAAAACTATGTTGATAGGTACACAATGTATAAGGATATAATTCACATGACACAGACAGCACAAAGGAAGGGGAGGAAACAGAGCTATGTATAAGCAAAGTTTTTAAATCTGATTGAAATTAATTTGGTATCAATACAATTTGATTTTTATAAATTAAGAGGCTAATAGTATCCCAAAGGCAAACACCAAGAAAATAACTCCCCAAAATATAGTTAAAGAAGCACCAGCCAGGCATGGTGGCTCATGCCTATGATCCCAGAACTTTGGGAGGCCAAGGTGAGTGGATCACCTGAGGTCAGGAGTTGGAGGCCAGCCTGGCCAACATGGTGAAACCCTGTTTCTAATAAAAACACAAAAAAAATTAGCCAGGCATGGTGGCGTGTGCCTGTAATCACAGCTACTTGCGAGGCTGAGGCACGGGAATGGCTTGAACCTGGGAGGCAGAGGTTGCAGTGAGCCGAGATCATGCCTCTGCACTCCAGCCTGGGTGACACAGCGAGACTCTGTCTCAAAAAAAAAAAAAAAAAGAATGTCATATGTCATATAAAGGAATCATGCAGTATGTAACCTTTTGAGGTTGGCTTTTTTTCTTTTTTTTTTTTCCTTTTTTTTTTCTGGAGACAGAGTTTCACTCTTGTTGCCCAGTCTGGAGTGCAATGGCGCAATCTTGGCTCACCACAACCTCCATCTCCCAGGTTCAAGCAATTCTCCTGCCTCAGCCTCCCAAGTAGCTGGTACTACAGGCATGCGCCACCACACCTGGCTAATTTTTGTATTTTTAATAGAGATGGAGTTTCTCCATGTTGGTCAGGCTGGTCTCGAACTCCCGACCTCAGGTGATCCGCCCACCTCAGCCTCCCAAAGTGCTGGGATTACAGGCGTGAGCCACCTCGCCCAGCCGAGGTTGGCTTTTTTTTCACTCAGCATAGTGCCCTTGAGGTCCATTCAAGTTATTGTATGTGTCAGTAGTCTATTCCTTCTTACTGCTGAATAGTATTCATGGTATGAATGTACCACAGTTTGTTTAACCAGTTACCCATTAAAGGACATGTGGGTTGATTCCAGTTTGGGGCTATTATTTAAAAAGCTGCTAAGTTGTCTCTTCACTTTCTTGGTAGTATCCTTTGAAGCACAGTAGGTTTTAATTTTGGCTAAGTCCAATTTATATGTATATTCTTTGGTTGCTTGTGCTTTTAGAGTTATAGCTAAGAAAGCATTTTTCTAATCCAAAGTCATAAAGATTTACCCTTCTGTTTTTTCTAAGAGCTTTAGAGTTTCAGCTCTTAGATTTATGGCTTTGATCCATTTTGAGTTAATTTTTATATATACTGTGAGGTAAGGATTCAGCCTCATTCTTTTTGCAGGCGGATATCTAGTTTCCCAGCACTATCTGTTGAAAAGAATCTTCCTTCTCCCATATCAATTTTTAGAATCAGCTTGTTAGTTTCTTCAGAGAAACCAGTTAGGATTTTGATAGAGATTTCACTGATTCTGCAGATCAAATTGGAGAGTACCGCCATCTTAACAAGATTGAGTCTTTTTATTAAACTCTCTCCAAGTATACAATGAAGAACTTTTTCCCAGGGCCATTTGACAGTAAGTTGCTGATCTGATGCCCCATCACACGTGCATGTATTACTTACAAAGACATTCTCTCTTTTTTTTTGAGAGAGGGTCTTGCTCTGTCGCCCAGGCTGGAGTGCAGTGGTACGATCTCGGCTCACTGCAACCTCTGCCTCCTGGGTTCAAGCGATTCTTCTGCCTCAGCCTCCCGAGTAGCTGAGACTACAGGCGCCCGCCGCCACGCCTGGCTAATTTTTTCCACTTTTAGTAGAGACGGGGTTTCATCGTGTTAGCCAGGATGGTCTCAATCTCCTGACCTCATGATCTGCCTGCCTTGGCCTCCCAAAGTGCTGGGATTACAGGCGTGAGCCACTGTACCTGGCCCGACTCACTTCTTAATTTTAAATTTCTAGTAGCAGAATTTCATGGACTTAGAGTAAGGAGGAACATTTTAACATTTAAGCTGTTTAAACTGGGATGGGCTGTGCAGGGAGCTGGTAGAGTGCGGTCGTTGGTGAGGGTCAAGCACTGGCAGTGTTTTCATGAGTCAGGAACAGTGTAGAGGAGACACCCATGCTAATGTCCTGGAGCACTAACCACGTGCCAAGCATGGCGCCAAGTTAACCTCTAAGCCCTCAACAACCCTATGAGGTAGTGATATTATTGTTGCTCCTTTGCAAATAAGGAAACTGAAGCACTAAAAATTATTCAAAAAAAAACAAAGACCAACTGACATTGGGGTGCTGTTATGTAACCAAATCTTAGAAATCAAAAATTGTACAGTAGATGTTGGAGCTTTGCTCTACACTAAGGCAGACTAAAGTAGTTGGCCTTGCCACCCCACCTCTCCTTACATTTTTAAAAAAATTATTCTTTTAAATAGTTTTTCATTTTCAGTGACTAGTCACCTAGGGGCATGTCCAAACTCTGTCAGGTGTGACAAGTCACATTGTCTGTGATTCTGACATGGAATGAAAGGTACAAATTAGTTATAATTGGCTATTTGTATTTTAACATAAAGTTAAAATAAAGTGTTATAGACTATGTAGAAAAATGATTAGTCAAAGACATTAGAAACTTTAAAAAACAGCCAAAAACCCAGAAACAAGTAGAACACTGATCAGGAAATGGGAAGTCTTTCTAAGACTGTGAGTGAACTGAAATTTCTGTATGTGTGGTCTCCTTCCATTCCTTGTGGTACAATAGAAGTGAAATTAATGGTGAAGAAGGTTTCTCGAGTTAGGAACAATCCCTGTCATTGACACATTCCTCCTTTCCCCACACTGGGCACCTTCTGCTATACAGTCCCCCTTGGCCCCTGACCTCACAGTCTCAGCCCCTCACATGCTCCCAAGCTGGCCCTCATTCCAACAGCCTTTTAAGCAGCAAGTTGTGAATCAGGGTGTGTCTGAGCCTCCCAGAGTTGCTGTAAAAAAACACTGCAAACAAGGTGGCTTCGAGGAACGGAAATGATTATCTCACAATTCTGGAGGTTGAAAGGACGGAATCAAGGTGTGGACAGGGCCACCTCCCTCTGCAACCTGCAGGGAAAAGACCTTTCCTTGCCTCTCCCTAGCTTCTACCAGTTTGCCAGCAGACGTTGGTTTTTCTTGACTTGTAGGTGCATTGCCCCAATCCTCCCTCTTCACGTGGCCATCTTCTTTCTGCGTGTCTGTCTCTGTGTTCAGATTTCTCCTTTTTATAGGGATACCAGTCATACTGGATTAGGGCCCACCTGAATGACTGACTTCATTTCAACTTGATTACATCTGGACAGACCCCATTTCCAAATAAGGTTACAGTGCTCACACTGTACAGGGGGCTAGGATGTCAGTCAACATATCTTTTCCGGGGAACACGATTCCACCCATCACTGGGTGCTAGGTCAAGGGTTCAGTTCTATGTCCTTCAGCACTTATGAAACTGAGAGGACCCCATGGTTCTGCTTCCTCAAATTACTCCCATCTTTGGGCCTGCCCAGGACCAGGCTGCAGTGATGCCAAGTGCCTGGGCTCCCAGATAACACAGCGGGCAGGCCGTCTCTATGTGAGTAACGCATCTGACGGCTCCCCAGGGCTGGAGATTACCCTGGAGCCCTCCGGCTTCATCTGACCAGGTCTCCTTGCTTTCCCTTCACTTGAAGGGCTATTTTTATCCTGTTGTGCTGTGTGTTTGCTCTCACAATTCTCCTCAACTGTTTCAGGGAGGAAATAAGGTATAAAAATAAATTACATGAATGGCAATTCCCTACCACAGTTTGGTGGCTTCATTACATAGCAGCACAGGGGCAGGCTATGAATGCCAGGGCCCCAGTGTTGCCATGACAACAGCAGGGCGCCGCCTCCTCCACTTGGCCCTTCCCCAACCTCCATTCCCAGTGCCAGTTCAGCCTCATGCCTCTGCCTTCTGAGAAGCCACCCCTGAACAACAGACAGGGCTGCAGCCCTCCTCGTGCTGTCCCAGAACCCTGGGCCCTTCTGGCCACTGCACTCACCGAGTGGCCTTCCCTTAGTTCTGTCTCTCTAGAACACAAGCTCCTAGAAGTCAGGGACCATGCCTGTTCCATCGTTTGCTCCCATCAGCATCGAATTCAGAACTCTACCCATAGTAATTGCTCAAGAAATGCTAACGAATGGTAGAAGGGAAAAGCCTATGGGGAATTGCCACAGCAGACTGGAGGACCAGGAGCTGTGATCATGGAGGGTGTCCCCAGAGCTGCTGTTATGTATTGCCACATGTACCTATTTAAATTCAAGCTTAGTTAAATTTAAATTAACTGAAACTAAAAATTCACTTCCTGGCCGGGTGTGGTGGCTCACGCCTGTAATCCCAGCACTTTGGGAGGCTGAGGCAGGTGGATCACCTGAGGTCAGGAGTTCAAGACCATCTTGTCCAATATGGTGAAACTCCATCTCTACTAAAAAAACACAAATTAGCTGGGTGTGGTGGCACATGCTTGTAGTCCCAGCTACTAGGGAGGCTGAGGCAGGAGAATTGCTTGAACCCGGGAGGCAGAGGTTGCAGTGAACCGAGATGGCACCACTACACTCCAGCCTGGCCAACAGAGTAAGACTCCATCTCAAAAAAAAATTCACTTCCTCATTCCCACTGGCCACAAATGCTAAATGGTCACATATGGCTAGTGACTATCATATTCGACAGTGTAGCTGCTGAACATTTCCATGATCACAGAAAGTTCTATTGGGCAGTGCTGCCCTAAGAGGACTCCATAACCAGTGTCCCTGGGGTGCTCTTGCTGCTTGTTAATTGCACTCCCAGCCCATTGGAACCATTTAACTAGATTTAACACTAGGAACCAAAGAGAAAATGTCAGCAGTCTATCCCTCTGTCAGGATCATGAGCTAATGTCCCCTCACCAGAGAGAGGAAACACAAGTGACTCCTTAGTTTTTCAACAAGCCTCGACCTTTATGCCTCCATGTCTTTGCATATTCAGTTCCTCTGCCGGGGAAGTCCACGCTGATGAGAACTCCTGAGTTCTTATCTATGCTTCAGGTGAAGGCAGAAATGCCTGTACATGCATAAATCCTTTTCCCCCTCATCCTCCCCTCAATTGTGTGTGTGTGTGCGTGGGTATGTAGAATCTATCTTCTCACACTACATCCTCTCTATCTGTTATGCGGTGGCATCGAAATTGATGAGCAGATAATGTGTCGTAATTAGCCCAGAGGCAAAAATCAAGCAGAACCAGAAGTGCCTTAGAAAATCTCTTAAATCTGCTGCAGAGCCTGCATCCTTGGTTTCATTTATGCAAAGCTATACAGAAATTCTTATCCTCATAAGAGAGGGTTCTACATGAAGAGAGGTACAGTCATTGGATGCAGGCAGGCTCTAATGATACAGTCCATTAAAATGGAGACCAGGTCTGAAGAACCCCTGAGCAGACAGAACCATAAGTCAGGCCTCACAAATGACCACGACCTTGCTTGATTTGTAAACATAAGCAAAACTTAACTCGAGCTATTTCTTGTAAATATTTGTATTAAAGGAAAACAGAACTTAAGCTCAACCAGTCAGAAGCATCCAACAAACTTGTAATTATATAACTAGAGACTTTCCAACAGGATAGACTAGGGGTCCCCAATACCTGGGCCGTGGACTGGTACTGGTCCGTGGCCTGTTAGGAACTGGGCCGTGCAGCAGGAGGTGGGTGAGCAAGGAGTATTACCGCCCCAGCTTTGCCTCCTGTCAGATCAGCGGTGGCATTAGATTCTCAAAGGAGCACAAACCCTATTGTGAACTGTGCATGAGAAGGATCTAGGTTGTACGTGCCTTATGAGAATCTAATGCCTGATGATCTGAGGTGGAACAGTTTCATCCCGAAACCACCCCACAGCCTTCCCATCTGTAGAAAAGTTATCTTCCATGAATCCAGTCCCTGGTGCCAAAAAGGTTGGGGACTGCTGTTCTAGTGGATTCTTTTTAAAGTAAACTTTTTGGCCTGATGCGGTGGCTCACGTCTGTAATCCCAGCACTTTAGGAGGCCAAGGTGGGCAGATCACCTGAGATCAGGGGTTTGAGACCAGCCTGGCCAACATGGTGAAACCCTGTCTCAACTTAAAGTACAAAAATGAGCCGGGCATCATAGTGGGCGCCTGTAATCCCAGCTACTCAGAGGTTGCAGTGAACAGAGGTCGCGTCACTGTACTCCAGTCCGGGTGACAGAGCGAGACTGCATCTCAAACAACGACAACAACAAACTTTTTAACTGAAGTTTCAGGTTGTGATACAATTTATGTTGTGCTGGCCTCTTAATCTTTTTGTCTTTTCTCTGTAAAGGTTTACATAATATCGTGGGATATTGGGAGAAATTTTCTATTGGCACCATCAGAGCTTAGCTTATTCTTTGTGACAGATTTTAAATTATATATTCATTTTTACCTAATAAATATAGAATGACTTATATTTTTTATTCCTCATTGTGACTATTTTGGAAAATAGTGCTTTTCGAGGAATTTGCTCATTGCATCTAAATGTCTAAGTTTATTGGTATCAAGTTATTTATATTGCCTTCTCATTATCCTCTTATTGTCTTTAGGATCTTTATAACTGTATGTTGGTGTTTTATGCTTTTTCTCTATTTTTCTTCATTGGTTCAGGTAGGAGATTATCAATTTTATTAGTCTAAAAACTAATTTTAGGCTTCTTAGATTTTTAAGTATTGCATGTTTGTTTTTTATTACATTGATTTTTGTTCTTTATTATTTTCTTCTTTCTATTTCTTTTGGTTTTAATTTGATGATTATCTTCTAGGTTTCTTGAAATAGTTACTTAGGTAATTGCTTTTCAGCCTTTTTCTCCCATTATAAATGCATTTAATGCCACAAAGTTCCCTCTAAGTATGACATTAGCTGAATGCCATACATTGTCTGTTTTTTTTATCATTTAAAATATTTCATAATTTCCATTGTGATTTCTATGTTGACTTCTGGATTATTTAGAATAATCACATTTTCTTGTTAAATTGACTCTTTTATTATTATAAAATGTTCTTTGTCTCTAATAATAGTTCTTGTCTTAAAGTCTACTTTGTCTGATATAGCAAAGCTACACAATTTACTTTTGGTTATATTTTTTCTATCCTGTTAATTTCAACCTTTCATAGTTTCTATATTTAAAATATTTCTTTTAAGCAGCATAGTTTTTGGCTCATTTTAATTGAGTCTGACAATGTTTTCGGTTTTTAATTACTTAGTTCATTTACATTAATATAATTAATTCTATATCTGGGTTTAAATCAACCGTCTTATCCATTTTTCTATTTGTTCTATATTTTCATTGTTTTTTAATATTTATCCTTTCTTGACTTCTTTTAGATTAACAACCTTTTTTTGGTTGTGTTTTTGTTATTCCATTTCATGCCCCTTCCTTTATTATTAGTTACATATTCTCTTATTATTCGCTTGCCTTAGAGATTGCAAAATGCATTTTTGACTTTGTGAGTGTCCCTTAAATTAATGCTTTCACCACTTTTCAGACAGTGCAACGACCTTAGAATGCTTTATTATATGTAGTTTTGGAGACAGGGTCTCAGTCTGTCACTGGGGCTAGAGTGCAGTGGCACAATCACAGTTAACTACAGCCTCCACCTCCTGGGCTCAAGCAATCCTCCCACCGATGCCCCACCCCACCCCAGGGAAGCTGGGACTACAGGTGCGCATCACTGCATCTTGCTAATTTTTTAGATTTTTGGTAAAGACAAGGTCTTGCTATGTTGCCCAGGCTGGTCTTAAACTGGGCTCACGGGATCCTCCCACCTCAGCCTCCCAAAGCGCTGGGATTATAGGCATGAGCTACCACACCTGACCAGAACACTTTGATTTTATTACCTTCTTCTTGCCTTTTATACTATTGCTGTTATGTGTTTTAATTGAACATATAAGATCCTCAATAAAAATACTATTTAAAACTCAGTATTGACTTAGATTTATCCTCATGTTTCTGCTGGTTCTCTTCATTCCTTCTTGCACCTCCAGCTAAGATCAATCTCTACCTGCTTAAAGAAAACCTCTTCAGTTCTCTATTAGTGGACTCTGCTGGTAATACAGTCTCTCAGGTTTCTTGATTTTTTGTTTGTTTGAGTTTTTGAAAATGACCATCTCTGCAGCTTTTGAATCCTGTTTTCTCTGGGAAGAGAATTTCAGGTTGGCCATTGTCTTCTTTCAGGACTTGAAAGATGACAATGCATTTCTTTGGGCTTTTACAACTTCTGTTGAAAGTTAACTAGAAGTGTCATTGTATCTTTGAATGTAATGTGTTTTTATTCCCTTTTCTGTTTTAAAAATGTCCTTAAAATTTTCCCTTTATCCTTTTTACAATGTGCCTGGGTGTGGTTTTCATTACATGTATCCTGGGAGGATTCTTTAACCTGTGACTTGATATCTTCTATCACTTTTGGAAAATTACAAGCCAGATTATCTGCAGTGCATGTCAGACTTTTTCACCACGTCCCAGATGTCTCTTATGCCCTTTTTATATTTTCTACTCTTTGTTTTTCCTTTCAGGACTTCAATTTAGGTATTTTCAACTTACTTATTTTCCCATTCCTTAATTCCCTCTCCTGGGCTCAGTCTGGTGGTATTCTCATGGGGAAAGCTGGTCTGATACTAACCAGCCCATCGTAACTGAAGATATCCTCTGCAATCATTTTAAACTCTCTGGTCATTTTAATTTCACTTTGCTCACCTTTCTCAATTCTCTCTCCCCTTTATCTTACCGTGTTTCCAACTCAGTTTCTTCTCTTGAGTATTGCTTCACTTCTGGGCTCAAGTGATCTTTCCACCTCAGCCTCCCAAGTAGCTTGGACTGCAGGCATGAGCCACTGCGCCCAGCCTGTGTTTCTGAAATGGTTTCACTTTTTATCTCCCTGCTTTTCCATGCTCTGCCAACTCACATTTCATCTCTCTCTGTGCCTTGCCATGTCTTTCCTGGGCTCTCGAATTTGTGTTTCATGCTCTCCTTTGAAAAGACTAAATGCTTCATTAATTGCTTTTTTAAATTTCTGGCACTGCGTTTGGTTAACTTTTCATCTGTTTCATGGCAATGGCTTTTTTGGTGAGGGTTTTTCATGCCACTTCTCGACTGTTACTTTCATCTTTTCCTTTATTGTGGTATCTTTGTTTAGATCCTATGACTTTTAAGAAAAAATATTTTGTAAAGAGGTGAATTCTTCCTAGAGGCTTAGATTGAAGAGGGGCTAGTGCTATGTTCCCGGCTAAAGATGGCTGTGTGTGTATGTGAGAAAGTTCTTTTATCCTCTATTTTTCCCAGATACCATAAGCAGGGTAAGACAGTTTGCACCATGCTGCCTCACCATCAGAATGCCAGCCTAGCTTGTCTGTGTTTTTTCTCACTCAGTCCTGCCTTTCTTAGTTGTTCAGACTATGGATTTAACCAGCCTAGGGAGTCTCCAGTCACAAACCTCTAGACTGTTCCTATTGGTCCAAAAAGGGGCTGTTGGCTTTGCTACTCAGGGCATGTCCCTTACTTTGAGGAACTAGGCTTTCCTGGTTTGACTGATGGTTCCATCTGTGGGCATCCTCTCTCATTATCTTCCCACACGCCTGCTTGACCTTCACTGTATTTGGAAGTCCTTCCTCTTCTATTTTGGTTCAGGGTTCAGATGTCTCTTAATTTCTTTCAAGATAGAGTTTTGTTCCTGTTTCTTATTCTCCTTCTCACTTTTGGGTGATTTCTCAGAGAAGAGGGAAATGGTCCTCTTTATGCCACATTTAAAAACCACAGGCTTACCCTCAGAGTCTTTTGCATTCTGCATTATTTTTAGTTTCAGTTCTGTATCACATATAATCTTTTTATGTTTTTAGAGACAGGGTCTCACTCTGTCGCCAAGGCTGGAGTGCAGTGGCATGATCATAGCTCACTGCAGCCTTGAACTTCTGGGCTCAAGTGACCCTCCCACCTCAGCCTCCCAAGTAGCTGGGACTACAGGAATGAGCCACTGCATCCAGCCTGCATCATACATACTCTTTTAAGAGTCATTTAAGATTAGGATTAGGGACCTGAATTCAAGTTTAAATTCAGTCTTGCCTGGTGCTACCAATGCAAATAGCTCAACTGAAGTGACAGTCAAATCATCTGATACGGTCACACATGGCTAAACTTGCATATGTGCAGGCAATGACAACCCCCTCGCAGTATACTTCTCTGTCTGACTGCTGGTAAGTGTCATTTGACATGAATGTAAGATGCTTCCCAAAGGCAGGAATGTAAAAATGTGAAAAAATGGCGTATGATATTTCAGCTGGGGCTGAAGAATGGTCCAGCAGGCTGGCAAGGACAGTGAGCATGGAGCAGACAGATGCAGGCAGACAGAGCTGCAGCAGCATGGGGCTTACCTGCCTTCCCTGGAGCAGCATCAACTTTTGAAAGGCTGAAATTTCAGGGAGGGTTTAGGAATCAAATAGGAAACAATCCAATTGGGGAGAAAACAGTGTTCTGTGACACTTGACAGCTCATTTTCTATTGAATTGAATGCCAATTCTTTGCCTCAGAAATGAGCTCTGCCCTCAACTTTCCAACACACCTATTGTCTTCTCATTGTCTGCAGAACAATGCTTAAATGCTATAGCCTGCCATTCAAATCCCTCCACTCCATGAAGCCAAAATGAAAGGGAAGGAATCAGGTTAAAAAGCCAGGCAAATTCCCTTCCCTCTGAGATTTGGCAGCATCCTCTCCCCTCCACCCCTGCTGCGTGCGACTGGTCTAAGCTGTTCACCAAGCATGCCTTGCGTTTGTCCCATACCAGTGCCATTGCTCATTCTGACTCTTCCACCATGATTCCTTCTCTTCCCTGATAACCAGCTCTGCTGCTCAAAACCCTGCTTATCCTTCAAAGCCCCACAGGCCTTTACTGATTCCCCAACCGGATATGAACTTTCTGTCTACCTCTGGGAAATTTTTCACAATCTTTTTAGATCAGGTACTACTCCCTAGGAAGCAGGACTATTACTCTGACACCTCATCTCGCTCCTCTGCCCTGCCAAACCAGGCTCAAACTCCTGCTGTCCTGGCTCTCACTGCCCAAACCCATTTTTTATGCTCAACTGGACTTTCAACTTTGTTCCTCTATGCTTCTTGCTTTGACCTGGAACTTTCAGATTTGGGGCCTACCGTTTCCATCAGTGTCTTGGTAGTCCTAGCTCCTGCCTATAAATGTACATATATTCCCTTGATACTACTGTACTGACAAACCAGTCAATGAGTTTCCAATTTCCAGAGCCCTTTACTCCAGCAGCCATTGCTGCTGCCCTTGTCAGACCCCAGGCCACAATCTCCCAGCTGCCCACTGAGCACTGCTGGCCAGGCTTTAGCCATTGGATCATGTCATTAACTTCACGGACACAGAATATTTTTCTTGGATCT